>NC_000002.12:107489618-107792648 GCF_000001405.40 Homo sapiens | reverse complement strand
GAATTTCATTCTTTCTTTTTTAAGACTGGAGAATATTCCATTGTGTGTATATACTATATTTTACTTACCCATTCATCCATTGATGGACATTCACCTTTGGCTATTTTGAATAATGCTGCAGTGAACATGGGTGTGCAAATGTTTTTTCCAGAGCCTGCTTTGAATTATTTTGGATATATACCCAGAAGTAGGGTTGATGGATCTTATAGTTATTCTATTCTTAATTTTTTTAGTAACTACCATCCTATTTTCTAGAGTGATGTGGTGGCACCATTTTATATGTCCACTAACAGTGTACACGTTTTTCTATTTCTCCACATTTTAGTCAACATTTGTTATTTTCTCTTCATTGTCACTTTTTGGTAGTGGCCATTCTAATTAGTGCGAGCTTGTTTCTCATTCTGGTTGTTATTTGCAGTTTCCCAATGATCAGTGATATTGAGCATCTTTTTACATGCTTATTGGCCATAATATATTCTCTTTGTAGTAATATCTATTCAAGTTTTTTGCTCATTTTAAAATAAGATTATTTGTTTTGTTGTTGTTGAATTGTAGTAGTTATTAATATATTCTGGATATTAATCCCTTGTCAAATATATATTTGCAAATATTTTCTCCCATTTTGTAGGTTGCCTCTTCACTCTGTTGATTATTTCCTTTGCTGCACTGAAGTTATTAATTTTGATGTAGTCCAATTTTTCTATTTTTACTTTTGTTCTCTGTTCTTTTGGTGTCATATACGATAAATTATTGTAATGTACAATGTCATACAGCTTTTCCCCTATGTTTTCTTTTAGGAGTTTTACAGTTTTGGGTCTTTAATTTAGGCCTTTGATCCATTTTGAGTTAATTTGTGTATATGATATAGTGTGGTATAAGGTAGGAGAAATTCACCTTCATTCTTTTGTGGATATCCAGTCTTCCCAACCCCATTTCTTAAAGGCACTGTCCTTTCTCAGCAGGATGGTCTTGGCAAACCTGTTGCAAATCATTTGGCTATATATGTGAGGGTGTATTTCTTTATGTGTATAATTATGTGCCTCTGCCAGCACCATACTGTTTTGACGACCATACCTTCATAATAAGTTTTGAAATCAGGAAATGTGAAACCTCCAACTTAGTTCCTTTCATTTTTAAAGATAGTTTTGGCTATTTAGGGTCCCTTGGGATTCCATACAAATCTTAGGGCAGATTTTTCTATTTTTGCAAAAACTGCTGTTGGAATATTGATAGAGATTGCATTACATCTGTAGATTGCTTTGGATAATACTGACATTTCAATAATATTAAGTCTTCTAGCCTATAACAGGGCATGTATTTTCATTTGTTTGTAGCATCTTTAAGTTCTTTCAGCAACACTTTGTTGTTTTCTGTTTACAAGTCTTTTATCTCCTTGGTTAAGTTTATTCCTGGGTATTTCATTTATGCTGATGTTATTTTAAATTGAAGTAAGTTAAAATTTCTTAATTTCCTTTTTTGGTTGGCTATTGATTGTATGGAAAACACAACTGATTTTTGCATGTTGATTTTCTACCCCAAAACTTTGCTGAATGTGTTTATTAGTTCTAATAGGTGTGTGTGTGTGTGTGTGTGAATTCTTTATGGTTTTGTACATATAAGATGATGTCATCTGCAAACAGAGATAATTTTACTCATCCCTTTCCAATTGGGATGTCTTTTTTCTTGTCTAAATACTCTAAGTAAAACCTTCACGTGAGAACTAGTAAAAACAGGCATCCTTGTCTTTTTCCTGATCTTAGATAATTTTAGTCTTATACCACTTAGTATAATGTTAGTTGTGAGCTTGATATGGTTTGTCTCTGTTCCGTACCCAAATCTCATCTTGAATTGTAATCTTCACGTGTCAAGGAAGGGACCTGGTGGGAAGTGATTTTATCCTGGGGGTGGTTGCTGTTCTCCTGATGGTGAGTTCTCACGAGATCTGATGGTTTTATGTATTTGGCAGTTCCCCCTTCACACTTTTTCTCTCACCTGCCACCCTGTAAGATATACTTTGCTTCCCCCTTGCCTTCCGCCATGATTGTCAGTTTCCAGAGGCCTCACCAGCCATGTGGAACTGTGAGTCAATCAAACCTCTTTTCTTTATAAATTACCCAGTCTCACGTATGTCTTCATACCAATGTGAGTACAGACTAATATAGGGCTGTTTACATATGACCTTTGTTATATTTAGGTAGTTTCCTGATATTCCTAGTTTGTTGAGTGATTTTATCATGAATGTATGTTGATTATTATCTAATGACTTTCCTGCATCTATTCAGATAATCATGTGGTTTTTTTCTCCTAATTCTGTTAATTTGGTGTGCTGTATTGATTGATATTTATATGTTGAAATATTGCATTTCAGGAATGAATCACACTTGTTTATGGTGTATCCTTTCAATGTGCCGTTGAATTCTATTTGAGAGTATTTTGTTGAGAATATTTGCTTCAATATTTATCAGGGAGATTGATCTATAGTTTTCTTTTCTTGTAATGTTTTTGTCTGGCTTTAGTATTGCAGTAATGATGTCCTCATAGAATAGGTTTGGCAGTGCGCTCTCTTTGTTAAATTTTTTGAAAGAGTTTGAAGATGATTGTTGTTAGTTCTTTTTTAAGTGTTTGGTAGAATTCACCAGTGAAGCCATCTGGTTCTGGGCTTTTCTTTGTTGGGAGGTTTTTGATGAGTGATTCAATCTCCTTACTTTATTTATAAGTCTGTTCATATTTTCTATTTCAGTCTTGGTAGGTTGTATGTTTCTGGGAATGTATCCATTTCATGAAGATTATCAAATTTGCTGGCATATACTTGCTTATAGTATTCCTTATAGTCTTTCTATTTCTGTAAAATCAGTTGTATCATCTTTTTAAATGCAACCATTTACATTTATAAATTACCTTCTGAGCAATGCTTTCACTGCATCTTATTAATTTCAGTATATTCTCTTTCTTTCACTCATCTCAAAGTATTTTATAATTTCCCTTGTGATTTCTTCTGTGATGTATTGGTTGTTTAATATTCTGTTGTACATTTCCCATATTTTTGTGAATTTCCCAATTTTCTCACTGTTATTATTTCTATCTTTATTCCATTATCTTTGGAGATTTTTTTATGGCTGCAATCTTTTAACATTTTTTGAGACTGGTTTTACGATCTCTATTAGAGAATGTTCCATATGTACTGGAGAAGAATGTGCACTCTGTTCTTGTAGATAGGAGGAGTACTTCAGTAGCACACAGGGCTTTGGTTCTTACTGAAGCTTTTTTATCATGGCTGCATTAAAATCCTTGTCATAATCCCAACATCTGATTCAGCTGATTGTCTTATCTCATTCATATTTTAATTTTTATGATTCTTAGTATGAGTGAATTTCCAAGATAATAGTATTTTTTTACTGTTGAGGTTTGAGAGATTTTTATATAATCTAAATACTAGTCTTTATCATATATAAGTGATTTGGACACTTTAGATATTTAATATTATATTATATGAATCCAGACCTTACTTAATACTCTTTTCTCATCAGGCACTCCCCTGTTGAAGTGTGGTGTGGTAGTCAGCAGGCGTGTATGCTCAGCTTCCCACCCTGCCTTGCCAGCACCACTCCAGCACCATTGGAGAACTGATTTCCACTGCCTTCCTTTAGATGGACAGGGTGGGCATTCAGCTCCTTACTCATCTTTGCTGACATCTTCCTGGTAAATGCAGGCTACTAAATAGCTACACTGTTTGCTCCAAAAGGATATAAGAACAACTCTCCCTGGGTCTTGCTTCTACCAAGAATCGGGAAGCTATCATTACCCACACCACTTTGCTGGTGTAGGTTTGGGGCAGAAGCTCAACTCCCACTGAAGCTGGCTGACAGTGGAGGATGGGGAGTGAAACCAGTGGTAATTCACCTGATTAAATCCTGCTACTGGGTGGAAGCAGATATTCAGCTCATTACTATACTCTGCTGATACTATCTTTTCTGGGGAATCAGTGCACTATTGTTTCTTAAAACCAGGATAGAGCAGCTCCACACACAGACCCACACCACCACTGGGCACTGGGATTCAGTGCCCTACTTTGTCCAGTGGATAGGGAGGAAGATTACTTCCTGCTGAGTCCTGCTAAAACCAGGGGGGAAGGGTATGGTTTTTCTTTGGGTTTTCGGCTGCAGTAGGGCAGATATTGCCAAAAAGGGTTTCTGTTGTTAGGCCACCCTTTTCCAGTCTTTTAGATGGGAGAACAGGCTTTTCTTGGAGCCTTTTGTTCTGTTCAGAAAATACAACTGGCATTTTGTGTTGGTGGTTCTGCAGAGCTTTGTCTCGGGGAACTCATCTTTGTGTTGCTCCGGAAGTTCTCAGGTCTCTAGGATGTCTATCCTTTTTTTACCCCCCATTTTTCAGTCCTTCTATGCTTATTTGTTGCGTATGTCCAAAATTTTTTTTTTTTTTTGGAGACAATGTCTCACTCTGTTGCCCAGGCTGGAGTGCAGTGACACGATCTCAGCACACTGCAACCTCCGCCTCCCAGGTTCAAGCGATTCTTGTGTCTCAGCCTCACAAGTAGCTGGGATTACAGGCATGTACCACCATGCCCAGCTAATTTTTTTGGTTTTAGTAGAAAACAGGGTTTTGCCATGTTTGCCAGGCTGGTCTTGAACTTCTGTCCTCAAGTGATCTGCCCTCCTTGGCCTCCCAAAGTGCTGGAATTATAGGCATGAGTCACTGCACTGGCCATATGTCCACAATTTTTAGTAGAGGAAGGACCTAAAAGAAATAGGGTTACTCCATCTTGGTAGAACTTGAAGTCTAAGCTATGGTTTGATGAGAAAATAAACGTTTTAAAAGTGCCCAAGAAATTAGAAAATTCTGCTCTTAAAAATACTAATAAGGTAACTTTTAACATATGAAAGTACTATGCAATTTAGAAATGCTAACACATTGAAAAATAGGTTAGGTTCATAAAAGCTGCTAGTAAATTAATTTCATTTCTTTCCACTTCCAAAGTGACCCTACAGGAATGACCCCTAATGTCATGTGTTCATGGTGGGCAGGACAGATATCGTTTTGCTTCTATTCATTCTTTCTTGTCTATGGAAGTATGTGATGCAACCCTTTACTGGCAAGGTACATCGGTTATAGGTATTTATCACCCAGACTTTCCTCACTGAGTAATACCTTGAATATGGTTGACTACTCACTTCTCCTTTCATCACATTCCTGGTTTTCTTTCTAACTCACAAGATTCTCCTTCGAAGCCTCCTTTGCCAGATCCTTTTCCTGTACCCAGCACCTACATTCAGGAGTTCCCGTGGTTTGTTGCTTCCCTTGTTCTCATCTCTACATGTACTCTGTATTTATTCCTAGGCTCAAAGTGTGCCCACGTATGCTGGCCATTCCCTGATGTGTGTCTTCATCTCAGGCTTCCCTTCTGAGATCTGGATGTTATAGCAAGCCTCTCAAGCTCATGCCTTGTCTCCATAAACTCACCCATCATCTCCTAGTACTACTACTCAGACAATAAAATAGATCATCATCTTCCAAATTTCTCAAACCCTAAATCTGAGAATCCTTCCCCTTTTATCATTTTGTATATTACATACACAAGTTCTACTATTTCTACCTCTAAAATATCTCTTAATTCTAACAATTTTCTTCATCTCTATTGCCACTACCCTAATCAAAGTCATCATGGATGGACCGTTATCAGTCAAGTATGATTTCCTCCTAGTAGATTTTCTTACCTCCACTCCATGCCCAGTTCTGAATCCATTCTCCATAAAGCAGCTAGAAATGGCCTCCTTAAAACATATATCTTACCAAATAAGTTTCACCCTCACTTTCATCAAGGAACTTGTATGAGGGTCGAGTCCATAAAAGATCCTATATGCAGGGATTATGTCTTGGAGGATATTTGCATCATTAATTTTCTCTCTCCAATTGTCTTTTCACAAAAGACAAGAAAGCACTCTCTTGCCTGACATTGGAAACAATCTCTTGTATTTTTAATTAGATTACAAATCTTGAAGCTTTGAGATACTTTATAATTCCTTGCAAAGTAACTATGCCTCTGTATTGAGACGAATCAAATGCGTCAATATTTGAAGGAAATTTAGGCATTAGACACTCATTTCACATGCGGCAGCAACTCCTTTGTATCTCCTTGTACACCATATGAAAGAAGAGTACATGTTAGATGTTTTCTCACTATAAATCAGCAAAAGGGGTTTGTAAATAAATGAGGAAAGACTACTGTGCCTCAGAATACTCCTAATTTATTTTAGCAAAGGCACAGATATATATTAAGAAATATAGAATATAATGATGCTCAAAGGTTCCTTCCCACTTGGTTCCATAAATATTTTAAGTTTTGTGCTTATTTTCCAAGACCTGTAACTTCCAGAACTTTTTCTGTGATACCGTGGAGATGCTTCTAGGTAATGATTATAGGATACTCAAAGCAAAATGAATTATAATAAGTAAGCTTGGGCTTTTATTATGTATTATACAAGTAAATCAAGAATGAGGAAATTATTCTTTTAAAGGTGAAACACTTTCCTATAGCCAGCTATAGTGTTGCCTCTAACATAAGTTTTATAGTTAACTTTAAGACTGTGATTTCCTGAGCCTGTGGTGAGAAATTCAAGGTATCACAGAAATTCTCTAATACCAGCTTCTACTGACTCATCTTCCAACGGAAATTGCATACATGGAAGATAATAGTTCCTGTGCTCTGGCAAGTAAGCAGCAATAAATGGTGCCTCCATGTTATTCCACACCAATGAAAGGGCAAAGGAAGTTGACTAGGCAGTATACCCTGGGAAGACAGGATAGAGTTTAAAATTCCCTCTACAAAACCAAACTTCAAAAAGCTTAAGTAGTAGATATCATTGTCTTTCCTTGTCTAAACTATCCCACTGTCAACACTTTATATTTAGAGTCCATCCACATAGTACTTTTGACCTTCCTTGTCCATTTTTTTGACTTCTCTTGGTTTCATCTGTGTCAAAGCAATAATAAGCAGAAAATGTCAAAGTTGAAAATTGTGGTATATTTATGATTTTCTGCAATATATATTTAATCTGTTACTTGAGATGAATTTAATGAGTAACTGGTATATTTATTTAATTGTAATATTGTGAGGTGTGTGACTGAAAAATTTTTGACACTGTACTTGCATCTTGGGTCATATTGCATTCAGATCTATAACATAAAATATCTATGAATTAGATGAAAAGCATACTCCAGAATGTACATTTCTTGGACTTTTCTCTACTTTATGATTCTTTAAGAAATTTATCTAATTAGAAACAGGTAAAATTTGGGCAAAAATTCCTTAGTATTTATACAAACTTTACACATTTGAAAATGCTTTCTTCTGTATTAATTTAACGTTAATCCTCATAGCAATGGTGTCAACGTTGACTTAAAGGCACTGAAATATTGCCCCTCCAAGTGGTACAAGCTCTTCACAATTTTTAAAAACTTAAAATAAATGCTATCTGAAATAGAATCACTTTGAAATAAGAACCATATTAAGGATGAAGGAAGCTTATAGATTATCATTTTGACAGTGTTGTTTTTTCTCTCTGTTTAGGGGACTGAGATCAAAGGAGGTAAACTGACTTGATGACTTGGTCAAGGTTGTGCAGCTAGTTAAGCTTTGTGAACTTCTTTCCAGTTTATCGTCTACTTTGTGCTAGAGTTCAGACAAAGCTTTTACGAAGGGTATGGGAAGGACAGAGGATTCACTGCACAAGCACTGCTATATGCCCTTGGTTTTGTATATTAACTTTTCAGTGGACCGTTAATTCTTTGCTTTTCAATGAAGGACACTTGTCATCAACCTCACTAATATAGTTCCCCCCAATTTTTTACATCATGCACTGTGTATGTAACATTGAATTAGCATAGGTCCTTATCTGAGGATGTAAGATGTCCTCAGAGAGGAAATATCATTCTAATCAGAATAGTTCTTAATATAGGCTTATGAGAAAGATGTCCAACCCTTAATTTAAAGCAATTTTACAATCAGGACCAATTTGAATGAATTGTGGATAGTTTTTCTAGGTAACTAGCAATAATAATAGCTGGAGATCTGTGATCAGCACTGGCCAAACATCTTTCTCGATTCTCGATAGCTGTGTGGAGTACAGATGTCTGCTAATCCCAACTGGTGGAATTATCTTCTTTTCCTAAAGAAGATTATTAGTGATGTCACCTAAAGACTCAGATAGATAGATGATAGATAGATAGATAGATAGATAATCATGCATATTGGGAAAATTTGCAAGGTGTTAATTTGTGAGATAATGTTGATTCTGGCAATGCAGTAACTGTGAGGGGATGTATCACTGAGGGTGAAACATAATGTAGAAAAGGGAAGATAGAAGACTCATGCTGAAGAAGACTAGAATGCCACAGAAGAGGGGATTGATAGCTATCAAGTCTTGATTTAAAAATACAATCCTTTCCACTGATTGCATACTTACCATTTGCCAGCACTGAAGTAGTCGCTTTATATACATTATTTCTCTTAATGTCAACAAAGTACTATTTACTTTCTTTTGCAAACCGAGATTGGTGCTTGGAAAGGTGCCTGATTGGTATCTCTTTTTGGAGAAAACAGGCATTTGAACTCATCTACCTGACTCCAGAGGCTGTGCTCGTCCTCGCCACCCCTTCCTTAGTTGTTTGCTGGCATTGAGTGAGTGTCTCCTAACCCTGTGTCACACCACCCTTGTGAATGCCCCATCTGAGAATCCAGCCTCCCCATTTCCTCTGCTTTCTGTCCCAAGTGGCCTACACCTCTACCCTTCTTTGGTTATCCGCAGATTGGACCTTGACTTTGCCTGGAACTGCCCCACTTCTGGAATACCTCATCTAGGAATCTTAGTCTCTGACGCCACCCTACAGTTGCATGTGTTTACTTTTCAACTCCTTTACTCCTCTAGAGCCTCTGGGCCCTGTGACCTGTCTCCCATTGTCTCTCCATTCACAGCAGCTCAATTTGATCTTTACCTCCTTCTCTGACTCTGTAGCATTTCATGGCCCTTCACTCCCACTCTCTTGTATCAATATTTTTAATTCCCTTGCCTGGTAGTGCTTTCATCTTACTGGTCTTGAACATCCCTGTCTAGATGAGTCCTGCTGCTTGGAATCACTCTGCCTGTGATTGGAAGGCTGAGAGCTGCTAGAGGACATCACAAAATTGCTCAGTCGAGGCTATTACAGACCCACAGTTTCCACCAATCCCATTGGAGGTTGGTGCTGCTTACACATTTCCCCTTCTCCATAGCTCATTTTTTATTTTTTCTAGACTTTAACTTTTCTGCTTCCTGAGAAAACTGAAGCACTAAATGGAAACTCAGCTACCAACCTGTGGATGAACCATTGCTGAACTCATCTATTTTTTCCCTTCTGGGTGACAAAAGAGCTCTCACTTTACCTGTGTAAACCTGACTCCTCAAGTTGTCTTCCAGGTCCTATCACTTCCTGCCCTCTGAAGAACCTCAAACTACCAATCCCTCCACTTTCCCGTGTCTTTACATTCTCCTTTTCTACTGGTCTTCTTATCAACATTATAAAATCAATGTTAATACTACTGTTCTTTGACTACAATCCCCAAGTTTGCAAGTTTATTCCCACTACAGCTCCCACAAAGCTGGGTGGCGTGATTAGTTCTGTGTGGGCTACTCCAGACCTCTTTCTCTGAGTTATCGCTTCTCATACGCAGGGACCCACGGAATAAATATGGTGCTTTATGTGTATGCCTGTGTGTATAAATCTACATTTTACATGAACAATATCATATCCTATCACTTTCTATCTTTGCACATATAGGTATATTTGTTTCATTTTAACCATAGCATGAGATTTAATAGTTGGAATAGACCACCATTTGTTTAGTTATTTCACCAATGATAGGTATTTGAAACACCAATTTATTCTACAATTCTGCCATGAACATCCGGAACATACTTATTTTTACATACATGAGACTGTTTCTTTGGGAGAGGTAACAAGTAGAGAAACTTCTGAGTCATAGTGTATGTACTTTAATAGATTCGGAAGCTGAATTGCCATGTGGTGTGGCTGCAACAAACTTACAACCACCATAGTTTATAAGGCAATCTGTTTGTGTATATCCTCACCACTCCTGAGAATACCAAAATTTTAAATTTTACCAATGTAACCAGTCAACAGCATTGTCCTATTGTTCTTAATATTTTTCTTGATTATAATGAGTTTTAATATCTTTCATATGCTTAGAAAAAAGCATTTTAATATTCCCTTTTGTGACTTACACATTCCTGCCTTGCTCACTTCTCTACTGGGATTTTTGTCTTTCTTTGTGAATTTGTAAAGTTGTTTATATTGTTGATATTACTCCTTTGTTATATATTATACAAATCTGTTCTATCAATCTGTATCATCTTTTAATTTATCATCTATTTAGATTTGTGATTTATGTCCTTTAATCCTATAATAAGTAAATTAACATAATAGATTTTTAAAGTTGAAATATTCTTCCATTACTAGGATAAACTTTCTGGCTTTCCAAGACCTTTTATCACTATTCCTGTCTGGTTCACATCTCACTCTGTGGCCTGTGCCTATTTTAAGTTGAATCCAGAAACTCACCCTCTTCACCTTGTGGCAGCTAGGACACAGGCCTGTGAGCTACACTCAGTTGATCACGGGACCCAAGGAAGACACAGTCACAAGAGAATGGTAACAGGAAGGGCTATGGGAGAGTCCACTCTGCAGCGCATGGAAAGCAGAAACAGCCAGCTTTTAGGGACAGTAGGGGCCATCCTAGAGCAGGGACTTATTCCCTGGGTTGTTGGTGTTGGTGGCAGTTTGCATGTTCAGGAGTGGTGGAAGAATTCCAGGGGAACATTCCAGGCTGTTAACTTAAAAACTGTTCCTGATGGTATGGACACCAAATTTGATTGTGGGGGCTACTGAGCATTTTTTTTTTTTTCAGACAGAGTCTCGCTCTGTCACCAGGCTGGAGTACAGTGGTGTGATCTCAGCTCACTGCAACCTCCGCCTCCCGGGTTCAAGTGATTCTCCTGCCTCAGCCTCCTGAGTAGCTGGGATTACAGGCACCCGCAACCACGCCCAGCTAATTTTTGTATTTTTAGTAGAGATGGGGTTTTACCATATTGGCCAGGAAGGTCTCGATCTCTTGACCTTGTGATCCGTCCGCCTTGCCCTCCCAAAGTGCTGGGATTACAAGCTTGAGGCACCACGCCTGTAATCTTTATTTAATTTCTTTTCAGCCTTAATTAATTGGCTTAAGTCTCTCATTTGCTATAAAAACTGATACAGTCATAGTGTTCTATCATTTTAAAGTACAGCTTGATTTGTTTTGATATTGTTTTGCTTCCCTCCTTTCCTCCCCCCTTCTCTCCCTGCATTTCTTCCTTTCTATGTTCTTATATTAGCCAGTACGTTTTGTTTTTTCTTTTCTTGTGCTGCATTGGTTTTTTATCAGGCTGTGTCTAGCTATACCTATCTTTTAAGTGAGAAGATGTGCCTTGCCTTCTTCTAAAACAATTTTTATAAGGTGAGAACAATCAATTCTTTGAGAATTTTGTAGAAATATCTCTTAGAATTCTTTGGAATAGTTCCTTTAGGATGGTAATGGTAAGTCTTTGATTAGCATTTTAATTTTCCCTATGTTATTGATCTATTTAGTTTTCTCACTACCTAACATTTTAGTTTAATTTAATATTTTAAATTTACTGGTATTAAGTTGAACGTAGACATTTCTAATCAATTCTTAAGTCTCTATTATATCGGTAGCTGTTGCCCAACTTCCTGATTTTTTTTCTTCATTTATAGATTCTATATATGTTTTATTTTCTGATCACACTTGCCAAAGCATTTCGAATATATTAATCTTTTTACTAGCCATATGATCTTGGGAGACTCACTTAAATTCTACATGCCACAGTTTTCTCATTTAAAAATTGGTATAATAATGTATCCGTTTTGTGCATATTTTGTAGAACAATTAAAAGATTAATATATAATGCTTGGAACAGTACCTGGGAAAATAGTAAGCCCTATATAAATGGTAACAATGGTTACTGCTTTAAGGAATCACATTTTGCAACAACGTAGATGGAACTGGAGGACATTCTGTTAAATGAAATAAGCCAGACACAGAAAGACAAATGCTGCATGTTCTCACTCATATGTGGGAGCTAAGAAAATTGATCTCACAGAAGTAGAGTGGAATGATGGTTAGCAGAGGCTGGGAAGGGTAATGGGGAGGGCAAGGGGATAAAGAGGAGATGATTAATGGGTAAAAAACAAAGTTCAGTAGGAGAAATAAGATCTAGTGAGTGGTAGCACAATATGGTGATTATGGTTAACAATATTTTACTGTGTATTTCAAACCCATAAGTATGAACAACTATTATGTGCCCATAAACATTAAAAATGGTCACATTTTGCTTTGAATAACTATTTCTACTTTGGGGAAAAATTTCTATTTAACTGCCTGATTTTCTCTTTTTAAATTATTTTAATTGTGTTTAATTAATTTATTTTTAGAGACAGGGACCTTTTTACGTTGCCCAGGCTGGACTGGAACTCCTAGGCTCAGGGGCCTCTCACCTACCCTGGCCCCCTGCCCCCAGCGGAGCAGCTAGGACTACAGGTGCACACCATAGCACCCAGCTAAAATTAATCTTTTTTTCTTTTGAAATTATAGTATTTTTTCCTACTAAATTGTTAAATTTAAACTTTTGTTAAATTCGTCAACCTGACCTGTTTCCTAATGAATTCACTGAAGATTCTATCTTTTTCTTTAAGTGTCACTCGGCTATATAGCAATTTTTTATGCATTGTGATCTGATTATTTTTCAGGTCTAAAAAGTCTGTACTGAGGTTTGTTTCCTCCTCATCTCCCATTACACTTTCTCCTCTTCACTGCACAAGTCAATTGAAGAGCAAGCCTGGCTGGTTCCATCTCCCGCAGACCTCTCATAGCTTCCTCCTCACTACCCCCTCAAGGCCATTGCTTTCCTTCCTGCTTGCAGCATCTTTTTCCCTGCAGTATCTCACTGGTCTCATAAAGCCCACCCGGCCTCCAGTTCTCCAGTTTTGTCTTCTCCATTTCATCACCCATGCATCACCATCCATGGTGAGCCTTATAAAAATATAAATTTGATCATATACTCAGCTGCCTAAAAGGCATCATGGTTTCCACCTTACCACAAGAAAGTGCTTGTGCATTGTATACAAAGCTTCTCGCTATTTAGGCTCCCGCTCTTCATCATCAGACTTGATTACTATTTTTTTTTTGTCACTGACCTCCATAAACTCACTATATTTTAGTTGGGTAAAATCAATTGCTGGTCCCGGAAATAAAGTCCATGCTTTCACATTTATCTATTTTTGCACAGTACTTCTTCTTTTTCTGGAGAATTTCAAGTTTGACCTGAAGTCTCAGGTCTAAGGTTACCCCTTTAGTGACGTTTTCACTGACTATTGACTGTTTTCCCTCATTTAGAGGTACGTGTCCCTCTTAGTCCATTTAGACTACATGACAAAATTCCATAAGCTGGGTAGCTTATAAGCAACCAAAGTTAATTTTCATTCTCACCAGGAAGTTTAAGATCAAGGCCACAGCAGATCTTAGCTGTCATAGACAGCTGTCTTCTCACTGAGTGCTCACATGCTGGAAGGAATGAGGCAGCTCTCTGACACCTGTTTTATAAGAGCACTAACCCGATTCATGAGGGCTTGCAATCTAATCACCTTCCAAAGGCCCCACCTTCTAATACCATCACCTTGAGTGTGAGGATTTTTAATATGTGAATGAACCTGGGGGTGTGAGGGACATATTCAGCCCATTGCAGTACCTTTTCATGCCCTCTTGTTTATTAATTACAGCATGTCTCAGTCTACAGTTTATTCTTCATATGTTTTTCTCCCCCACAAGTTTGTGAGCTCCTTGTGGGTAGAGACTGGGTCTGATTATTTATTTCTGTAGCTTCAGCACCTAGTATAATGTCCAGACACACAGTAGATGCTAATAAATGTTGAAAAATTAGTAAGTCATGAACAAATGAGTGCCGCATGGGTTCGGATAACAAATTTGATCTTTTGGCTGAGTTAGGCTGTGTCTGTTTTGATGAGGGAGTCAAGTTCTCACGCATAAACAAGATGTATTGAATTGTGACTTAGAATAAATTACTGTATTGCCAGATAAGTCTCGTGTGTGTTTATAAATATAAGGGTATTTGGCATCATCCGTTTACATCATTCTCTATGATGATATTGAGTAAATCTACTAAATCTTGGGTGGGAATGGGTTACAGAACTGGATATTCTTCCTGCTTTCTTAGCGTTACCAGAAGTCAGGGCTTTAATTAAAGGAATATAGACTTCACTCCTGGCCTTTCCATGATCAGTGGAAGATCTTTTGATTACTGTCACCTGGACCTGAGTCATGAGAGCCCTGCCTGGATTTGCTCATCCATACCGATTACCATAGCTCATCACATTTATGATGCCTGCCTCTCTGAACCACCCCTTTGAAGAAGTAAGACATTTCATGCCTGTTTCCTTTTTACTTTCATTATTTTCCTTTAAAAGCTTTATATGCAGGAAAATACCTGAAATATACATCCATTGAAACAATCCATAACCTATCATCCTATTGGAGGACGCCACACTGTGTTTTGCTCTTTATGGTATGTCTCTATGCATTTCTCTACTATATGTTGTTAACCTATCATTCTTTCAGGAAACCCTAGCATAGGTGATTTTGTCATCTTTTCTTAATGACAATTATCTTATGAGAATATGCTTTCTCATTATTCTCTTACTATCCATGGTCAAAGTATTTTAGTCTTCTGTTCGACACAGCATGTTCATTATGATAAGGAACATTCTAATAGGTAGAATTGTTACATGAACTCAAAAACTTGCATAAGGAACACTCTGTGCAGTTAAAAGACTTAAAAGCCTCAGGCAAAAAATTAAGCAATGCAGCTTCCTAACCCAGCGTCTGGGACACAGTAGGGATGTAATAGTATTTTAGAACCATATATATGAAGATGCAATCGCTTAGCTTGAATGAAAAACTCTCTCTCAAAATACAGCTGCTTATACTCTGCAGGGATAAATATGTCTTTAAAATAGAAAAAAGAGGAACCATAACTAAAAAGAGTCATATTTCTCCTTCTCCTGACTCCTCAAGGACCTTCTTCTGCACACATGTGACATTTCTTGGTCACAGAGCTGATGGTGGGCTGACAGATTTGCTGTCAGACTTGAGGTTGGAAGGTCTCCCTCTAGGCTGTTATAAAATGCCAGAATTGACACATCTGCAGAGAAAATTTTGAAGCAAATGCAGAAAGCTATTTTTCAGCCATACAGTTTTAAAAATTCATGAGTTCTTGAATGTATACTGTTTTGCAATTTCGAGATTAAAATGGTTCATTATGAAATATTATTTAGAATATTATTTGGTCAGAATATTTCATACCAATGTTGTTTCTAAAAATTAAATAATTAATCAGCTGATTAAATTTTTAATTTAAAATTCTCCTGAATATTCTTCTGCCTTCAAACCCTTAGGAATTCTTGAGGCGAAAAGAATTCATACCCTTTGGGAGTATAAAGGGAGTAACTCAAAAAGACTTTTTTTTAAAATAAGAAATTATTTTGAAATCTCATTTTTCACCTTAAAATTTGAGTTGAATATAATAGTGTTTTCCCATAGTCCATGTTTCTCATAGTAGTAATTATTTAAAATACTTGCCACTAAATAAAATTTTGACTTTCATAATAAGTCAGATTTCCCGTGTAGTTTCATGTTTGGCAACCCTTTGCTGCCAGCACATAGCTGAGTAGTACAGAAGTGTGCATACCCCAGATCATAAACAGAAAAGAGTGTGAATAGCAGACTAGTACACAGAACAATATGTTTTACAAAGTGCAAGAAATTACTCCTTACATTTACATCTACCTCCTGGCCTCTCCAATGTGTGCTGTCTGGCCAAAGGAACCCAAAGCAAAGCCCTGTTCTCAGTGTGTGCGCAGACTGCTACCTTGTCATTTAGTCCTTTTGTCTCCCACACTACCAGCCTGCTCAGACTGTCTATTGGATAACAAGCTGTCATTCATTTCTGCTGAGGAGGAAAAATCATTGCATTTGGAGTCTGTGATGGCTCAGACTTTGTCCTGCCACAACCTCACGGTAAAACATTGAGAAAATCACTTGCTTCTTTGGATTCCATGTTTCATTTTTGTAAAATTAGAGGATGAATTGAGATTAATATCTCAGATCCATTCCAGATATTCTTTTATATGGTTCTCTGTGTTTGGCTACTGATGCTCTCGCCTTACAAATGTTTACAAGCCAGAGTGATCAGCTAGGGCTCTCAAGTGTGGCAAGGGGAAGATTGGGCTTAATAAGTGTAATTACGGAGAACTGAACGAGTGTATATTTATTAGGTTTACTAGTTGAATGGAAACAAATAATATAAATATTGGAAAGAATAGCCTCTCTCCAAGGCAAAGCATAAGTCCATAGGACATGCTTTCTAACAACACTAGTTCTATTTCCATTTCCACCTTGGCATGAATGGTAATTTTATGTCATCAACTTGGAAGGTGTCCAGGATAAATTTCAAGAAATAGGAAATTCACCTGATGAGTAAACAAGAATATGTTTCTAGGGACTATGGATATGTACTGGCTGGATTACTTGGCAGAAGCTGCCAGTGCAGGTTGCTGAATATGTGTGTGTCTCTAAAGAGATAGGAGGGAGAGAGAGGAGGAAGCAAACAGCATTCCAAAACTAAAGCCATCATACCGTTTCTCTGCTGGGCACATGCTATTTAACTCAGTGGCATGATCTAATCTCAAATTATATCACATTACTGAAAGTTTTAAAAATTATTTGTGGGAAAAATGATATAGAAATTAACATACTGTTTAATTTGCCACTGAAGTCTTGACCAGAATCAAAAGATACTGAATATCCCCTTTTTTTTTTTGCCTGCTGTTCTTTTCCTCCACTCCTCATGCCTCTTATTTGGGGTCTTGAGAAGATGAGAGGAAGGAAAATGAAATCTTCTCCCCTGTTGTCTCATCTTCCACTGTGGGTCTAACTGCTCATTGCTGCCGCTCCCTTGAAGCATTGCAAACGGACCCTGAGACGTGCAGCAGCCTCTCTTTCGCCTCCAATTCCTGTTTGTCCTTTGGCTTACCATCACATTGGTTTCCCATGAGCTCACTGACAATGGCCTTTGCAGTTGTTATTTCTTCAACTGGAAATCCCAACCCACCAAGTCCTTGCTGCTTACACTTTCCCCGGGCCCTTCTCATCTTTCAGGTCCCAACTCAAAGGTCATTTTCTCAGTGGGGCTGTCTTGGCAACCTAGCAAATGCAGCCCCTGTTGCTTTCTATCACAATTCCCAGTTTTATTTGATTGTTAGCATTGATCCTTGTCTGGAATCATCAAATTTATTTATTTTATTTTCCCTCACTGTCTGTCACTGGAAGAGAAATCTCTGACGCTGTTGATTTTGTCCTGATCGACAATACACCTCCAGGCCAAGGTTATCCAGCCCATAGTAGGCAGTGAGTACAGACTCACTGACTTTCTGACTGGTCATCTAGTTGCACTCCCAAACAAAGCCTTTGGTAATTTTCCACCAGTTATAGGGGATTCTAGTATGAAATTCAGAATGCATCCTGACCCAGCCACGGTCTAGGATTCTTGTCTAGCAGGTTCCCACCAGCCTAGCCCTCTGTGTTAGCCTGGCAGGGATACTTTCCACTAAAGTAACAGACTCCACAGTGCTTGTGTCTGGGCCATTGTTTTCAGTACAGCATTTTTCTGGGGGAAAAAAAAAAGAAAAAAAAAAGAAAAAGTTTAACCCCAAAAATTCATGAGAAAAAAATAAAGGTTAATCATAACATCTGATTTTTTTTAGTGTTTACTATGTTCCAAAAACCATACTAAGTGTTTTACACTCATTGTTTCAATCCACCAGCACTCTAATAAGGCAGATAATATATACCCACTTTGCATCTAAAGAAACAGAAATTTTGAGTAGTTATTTCTTTTTCCTGAATGTCACAGAGTAAGACAGTGGCCAATGGAAGTGGAAGCTACCTGGATCTAATGTCCATGCTTTTAACCATTATCATTATATGTTTAGCATATTTTAGAGAATAAATTATTTTAAGTATCTACTTACTATTACTAATAAATTAATTACTCATTTAATGCAACTCTTGAATTTCTACCATGAATAAAACACTGCGCTTAGAAATAGGGAATAAATGGACACAGAAGACAGAGTCTTTGCCCTTTCCTGGAAACCATAGAGGAAAACAAAGTAGTCAGATGACTGATTCTGCAAAGTGTATCGGGATTCTTTGGAGGTGTGCCAGATGCCAGTGGGGCACAGAAATGAGCCACTTTGGCCTATGTGTGTCTGGAAATTCATTGTGAGGAAGATTCCACTTAACCAGAACCTCACTAAAATGGAGACAGGAGAGACACAGAGCTAGAGATACTTGATAGATCGATTGATCGATCGATCGATAGAGAAAAATGGTAGTTCAGAAAACGGAAGAGCTGTAGAATTAGATACACGTGGGCTCGTACATTGGCAATGTTGTATTCATAATAACACTGGAGAGGAATATGGGAGCCAAATCACGCAGTGCTTGGTGGAATAAAAACCCTGAAATATGGATTGACAGGTGGATGGACGGAGGGAAGGAGGTGATGAATGGGTAAATGAGTAGATAAATAGGTATAAAGGTGCATTGGTAAATGAATGAATATATGGATATTTGAATTATATATTAATTCATGCATTATTTACGTGTTTGTGGGGATGGACAGCCTTGAACTAGAGATCAACATATCTGAGTTATATTTGAAACTCTTACACTAAGTGTATGATCTTGGTCAAATCCTTAACCTCTCTGAGCATCAGATACTTTAAAGTGAGGAAACTACCATCTATTTATCTTACAAGTTGATTGTGAAAATTAAGTGAGAAACTAAATATGTATGAAAATGCTTTGGAAAATGAAATAGTTCTCAAAAATAAGGGAGGATGATGATGATGGTGATTATGCAGCATCACCACACAGCTGATCTCAGTCACAAATTCAAATCCGTTTTCCAGGTGCGTTCTGGTGATACTGTTGAGGCTTAGCAGGCACACAGGCCTAGAACCCTGGTGCCAGAAATGATTCACACAGGGATAGCTCCATAGGAATTTGAGCATGTTTGTTTTTCCTCCAGTCACCATAGGCTCTTTGAGGACAGGCTTTGATATGCCTGGACCCCGATTTGGGATTGTCAGGATCTGTGTAACCTGGATATTAATAACACAGTTCAGTAAATGCACCTGTCTGTCAGTGTTGATGCAGCCTCTGACTTCCCCTGATCCTGGCCCTGATTTTGGCTTGTTGGACAGGCCTCTGCCTGCCCGTCCAGCTCTGAGCTTTCCTAAGTCAGCCAGACTCTCTTGATGAAGAATTAGCAATGAGCTCTTGCCCACCACTCTTTACCTGAGCAAAGCTCCACCTGGCTCCTTGAATTGGATTACTTGGCCTTTTGCACATGCCTCCTTTATGTATCCCGAGCCCACCTGCACAGAGGTCCCACTCATAGCTGAGTCCCGGACTCAGGCTTCATCAGGGTAGATTTATTCCATCTCCCTAGGCAGTGGGTGTCAAGGATGACTTGTAAACTTGTAATGGATGAGGACAACTATAGCTCAAATTCATCCTTTTCTCAGAGACTTGGATTTCTTTAAACGTGATATTATATGTGGCCTCAAAACAAAAACAGATCTGAAAAGTCAGTAAAACTCCACCCCTGGTCCAGAAGAGGTTAGGTAAGGGCAGAACAGCTCCCCACTTAGGCAGCACATAAGGGCTGTTCTGCTTTTAGACAGAAAGTGTTACAGAATTCTAAAACATCCCAGTGATTAATTAGTCATCATTTCATCCACAGCTCTTAAACCAGTAGAGCCGGTATAGCGCCCTGGCTTCTTCTCAGTGAAATATAGTCTGTCACATTTATTACAAACATTAATGGTAATTTACCCCTCATTAATCAGAGCAGTCAGCTACAGTACTTTTCAATCATGCATAGTACTTACTTTACTAGTTGGCTGGAATATTTTATTCATCCATTAGTCTCAGAGGCTCTGCAAACAGCTTGTAAATTTAGACAGGGCCTCGCATCCTGAACAGTGTAGCGCCCTTTTTATGGCTAATTTATGGCCCGTGTTTACATTTGTGCCAGGACTCAGGCTTTCTTACTGATCAAGGTTTGAAATATGTGGCCATAAACCCTATTTTTGTATTGGTCCACAATATGAGGAGGAACGTATCATGTTTTTCCCAGCACTGCTCTTTGTGATGTTCATATTCATAGCTAACGGTGATCATGTCTAAAAGCAGTACCAGCATTAACCTCCCTGGAATCAGTCATTCAATTTAATATGCTACAAGAAGACTTTTCTGTATAGTTTATTTGTTAATTGTATTTCTAGTTAAAAATGTAACAGGCATTTATAAAGAAATTGAACACTTTTAAATTTCGTATCATCGTTAATGCATGAAAATTTATTTTCTTCATAAACTCGTTTTCTTATGCACATATCCTTATGAGTTTACAGATTTAAAAATCAAACAACCAAAAGTTTAAAATTTCTCTATATAGCCATAGGTAGAAAATTATTAAGAAAAACTAAATACTGTATTATAGAGGACAGAACTAACTGGGCCGAGCAGGGTTGCATTTATTGTCACCATCTTATATTCTGATACATGCAGAATTGTTCACTTACTGTAATTTAGATTTTTGATTTTGTAGAATTTTAAATTATTCCGGGTCCTTGCCAGTCACTCTAATTTAATGTGTATTAAATTCTGTTTCAGCACAATCCCAGTTTGCCGAAATGCAAACTAAAATAATTTAGTTTGGTTATGTTGCTCTCCTGATTAGCTCATTTGAATTCCCATTTTGCTATTGGGAATTTAAATCAGAGTAGAGCCTTGAATCCAAGAAAATTCCAAAGGTGAGTAAGGATCAGTGATAAGACCTGTACTAATGAAAAAGAATTAAGGAAACCCTCTTCTATTTAACAATGCAATGTAACTCTAGCTTTTTTTGCAATAGCATTATACAACAGTTTTGGTAAAACAGCTTGGGAAGGGAAGGACTCTTTTTGTTCATAAGAACGTGAGGCATCTTGGAGATTAGTGGCACACAGTGTGCTATATGATGTGTAGGGGAAATCATATGTGCCGTATTTTCCTCTAGGAGTTTCAAAGTTCACATTAATATATGGAGCTTAGCAGGTGTTTGTCAACAAACTTTGTCTCTTTTTTTCCCTTCCCTTGCTTCCTCCCTCCATCCCTCCCTCCCTGCCTTCCTGTTTTCCTCCCACATTTTTTTTTTCTTTTTCCATTTTTCTTTTTGGCACTGCATCCATTATATTATTTCATAGAACTCAAGTGAGGAAATGCCAACTCAAGTGAAAGGGTTGAGAAGTGTTACCCCTTCTCTAGGAAAATGTAACAATTAATTAACTTTCTGACTCTTCTCCCAGCATCCTGAGAAAAGGTGGATCTTCCACTATGCTACATGCAATATTTCTTGTGGTAAAAACGACCCCTGATTGGCAAATTGCAGTTGAGCAATGAACACTTCATGGGAAATCACAGCTTTGCACTTCCCTGCCGCTGGTGACTGCTTCCACTGGGCATGTCTCTTGCAGAGACGCTGTTAGTTAGGCCCATAGAATTGTTACCAAAGGTTTTGGTTCTTGTGGCTCATGAATCTTCTAAGCTTGGGAAGTCTTTGCACTCTGTCCATGTGAGTCTTTTCCTTCATATGTGAGCCCTCGCCTGGCGAGCCAGAGAAAACAGGGTCCAGATGGCCGAGAAGACTCTCATGATGACAACTCCCACAGAAGAGGGGGCCTCAGGACTGATGTCCTCATGAATGAGCTCAGGTTCCTGTCCTGTATCCCTCAGAGTGGAGAGGGGACAACTGTTGCCAATAATAGTCTTGGGAGTCCCAAGGGTTTGTTAAACTCAAAAGGCCCCACTGGGTGCTACAGCTGGACTAAAAACCTGAAGATCTTATCAACACGAAGAAATGAATTTCAATTCTGACAGCAAAGGATTTTTTTCAAAGAAAATATTTTTCCAAATCACCTCGGACTGAGTCTCTGTTAATATTTTGGACTCTTTCTACTAACCTATCTCTCTGTTCTGTGATCAGCCTTGATTTTTACAACAATGCTAGGCAAGGATGTTTTCAAGTCCTGGCTGTGTCATTTAACCTCCAGCAGCCTTCTTTGCATTGATGCCCTTTTTGATTCTTTGGCTACAGTCTGCATTCATAGAGAAGGCCTTTAATGAATGGCTTATTTTGATGGTATGAGATATGCAGAGTCAGTTCTTGGACATATCCTGCTATTTTATGAGTAAATTCAACAGCTATAACATGAAAAATGAAAATTTGCGTGGGACTGGTGAAAAATGCCACTTGAGCTCCTGTATTGTAAGTTGGAAAATAGAACTTTTTCTTGATGAATTTGGGTGGCATATTATGGAACCTTCAAGAGAGATATTCTCTAGGCCTGTGGGAGGGAGTAGCAGAAATTTCAAGGCCTCACCTTGAGTTACCTCAAGTTGCGTATCTCTCATCCAAAATGCTTTGGACCAGAAGTGTTTCCAATTTGGGAAGTTTTTTTTTTTTTGGATTTGAGACTATTTGCATATAAATCATGAGATATTTTGGGGATGGGACCCAAGTCTAAACATGAAATTTGTTTGTGTTTTAAATACACTTTATATGCATAGCCTGAAGGTAATTTTATATAATTTTAAAAATAATTTTGTGCATAAAGCCAAGTTCTTGTACATTGAGCCATCAGAAAGCAAAGGTGTCACTGTCTCAGCCATGCATGTGGACCACCTGTGGTTGTTTATCACCACCATCCTTCTTGGCTCTGGATTTACATGCTACCAATAAGCAATCATGTTCTTATATTTATTCACATGTAAGTACTTAACAGTAAATAATATGCCAGAAAATAAAACAGTAAAAACTAACGTGTCCAAGGTAACTAGGAAGCACAGTAGCCTCATCGGACACCTGTATCAGCTCTTAAGCAACAGCAACAGCAAACCATGGCAGCTTTCAGTCTCCACCTGTGGTGCTGTGTTTTGATTAAAAGGTTACTGTACACTGAATTTTTTTAAGTAAGAAGAAACATCGGAAGTGGTGGAGGGATCCAGGAAACGGGTCTTCTAGGGATGAGGAGGCACCTTCCTCATGAGGATGCTGGATAAACGGTATGTTGTGTGTCTGTGTGCTGACTGTGACCCATCACCTGAGGAAAAGTGTAAAATTTTCTACTTGTGTTATCATGACAGCACTCAAAATGTTTGGATTTGGGAGCATTTGGAATTTTGGGTTTTCTGATTAGGGATGCTCAAACTGTACTGTCTCATCTCTTCAGAAAATACAGAATCTTAAACCCTCACGAACATACGATTTTCCTTTCTCACAAAATAGAGATGCAATTTCAATTGTTTTAAGATAAGAAGCTGTACACAGAAATTCTGAGCAGAAGACATGGAGATATGATATGAGTTTGACTAGTTCCCCTAAAGAAAACAAATCATGTAACAAGACACAAAAGACTTCATAAAAGAATATTCTAGGTTCAGTGAGATGCTCCCATTCCCTTAGGTGCCTTACAGCCTTTTAACACCCTTATTTAAGAAAGATTGGAGTTTGTGCAAATGCAGAACACTACTGAAGAAATGACCTGTAATAAATCTCCATGTCACCCTCCATTTTGCTGTCAGAAATTTTATTGATATTTAATTATCATGTTCCTCCAAAATAATATTTACTGAACATTTCCAGTGTTGTAGAAATTCATGGATTATCCTCCAATAGCCACAGAGCTGGATTTTTGATTCCTTGGAATTTTGGACTAGTTTATTATATCCCTGTTTGTTATGTAAATTATGAAAGCGTATATAAACAAAAGTCTAAACATTTTGCATGACATACTGAGCTGAAATTCTTTCAGAGCTCGCTTCATAATAAAACCTTCCATGTGGCTCAGGAGCAAGCAAATTAATCTTACTGTTAAATCCAGACTTGAGATTAGCTCAGGTTTTGTGCATTTGCTCTCCCAAGTGAAATAAGCACAAGGCTCTTTAATTGCTGTTGACAACACTTTCTTAAGGAACTGGAAAAAAGCAAAAATATATTCATGATGGCATTGATAACTGTAGAATAACTCTGTATTTATAGCTTTTGACAGTAAGGCATATAAAATATATTTTTACCAGAAATATTATTATTTGGATATTTCAAAGACATTTTGGTTCTGCCCAGCATCAGCCTGAGTCCTGTCATTGAAGTGTATCGCTATTCCCAAGGGTTTCACATTCTTTCAGTTTTAAACCAGACATGCTGTCTTAAGGTATAATATTCTAAAAAAGGTGGGGCGGGGGAAGAAGTAGAAACCCTTGGAATTCCTATATTAATAACCTGTGTTGTATATTTTCTGAAAAAGTCTCTCATGCCATGTTTTTGTTACTACTATTAATTACGCTGATATGTCTGTGTTCCCCTCACCAATTTGTTATAATCTATATTCAGCACTGTCTCTGACTCTGTGGATGGAAAGATGTAATTGCACAGATGAATTATTTATTTAACAAAACAACTAAAAGTCATTCCTGATTTACTCTCAATCCTCATCTTCTTCCCTTTGAGGAATATCAATTCATATATTTCCAAGTCTCCGGAAACGAAGTGGAAGATATGATAATATCATTTACCAGTGTGCATCAGCTTACAATCCTAAAATTCTAAAAATTACTGGTAATTAAGATCATGTGTATTATAATTTTTTTTTTTTAATGAGACAGAGTCTCACTCTGTCACCCAGTCTGTAGTGCAATGGTGCGATCTTGGCTCAGTGCAACCTCTGTCTCCTGGGTTCAAGCTACTCTCCCACCTCAGCCTACCAAGTAGCTGGAATTACAGGCGTGCGCCACAATGCCCAGCTAATTTTTGTATTTTTAGTAGAGGCAGGGTTTCACCATGTTGGCCAGGCTGTTCTTGAACCCCTGACCTCAGGTGGTCCGCCCACCTCGGCCTCCCAAAGTGCTAGCATTACAGGCGTGAGCCACCGTGCCTGGCCTCATGCATACTATAATTTTAACTATGCTTCTTTTGTTTCAAAAAAGTCCAGCTTTATCCTTATTCAATATGTTTTCTAATCATCAACTTCTATCCTTTTTCTCCAGGAAGCCACTGTCACTTCCATCTCATCCCAATTTCATGCTCCTGGGTATCCTGTGGTGGTTCTCTGTTCCCCTCTTTCCTGGCCTCCAGTGTTCCATTGCCATTTCCATGCCATGTATTACTGAAGCCAGTGATGACATAAATCATGGCTTCTCTTGGAGATATTTTTATTTTCCACTGCTTTAGCCCTAAATGAATAGTTTTATCACTTGTTAAGAATTCATGAACTAATATATCATTCAGTGGTCAAATATTTATTAAATTTTATTTTTGAGCTCAGTACTTTGCTAGAATGTTACAAGTGCATGACAATATTTTGTCTTCCCTATTCTATTTACTTTTCTACCTCCTGGTGCTATTTGTTATTTTTGCATATTAAAAGCGCCTACAATTTTATAGGTTATATACTAAAATATAGTGGTATACACTTCACCCTTAACTCTAAGCTTTACAGCTTTCTAAATCTTCTAAGTTTTTCTTTCTACATGTGCAGTTGTTGCTATTACAGACATTCCCCATTCTCTTTTGTTTTCCGGCCACATTCAAAATATCATTTTCTCTCATTTTTACCTGCATGTGAACTTTGGTCTTTGACCATTAATCATCTTCTGTTTGGAACTTCTAAAACACTCCTTTTTTGACAACGTTGTTGTTTTACAACTTGATTCCATGTCCAATTATCCTCTTCTAATTGTTCCTATACTTGTACTGCTGTCATACTTGAAATGGAATTGGAAGAATTAGGCAAGAAATAAAATGTGTGCATGTGTGTGTGTATCTGTGCAAGTGTGTGACAGAGTGGAAACTAATGTCAGTGTGATCTAATTTGGCCAATGTTGGCCATTCCTTAGAGACTCCAGATGTGTATGTCTGTGGTTTAGTCAAAATTTTTGCATTTATACACAATTTAAGAATTATTTATTGAGAACAGACTACGTATATGCTAAGAACTCTATTAGGCACTCCTTGATATAATCATTTAAATCCTATCACTGCTTAGTAACAGGGAACAACTTCGCATGTGTGTAAAATAAATTTCCAAAGGAACCTTTGTGAACCTTCGAATGCATTTTGGTATTTAATGATATATGATGGTAAAATTCATGTATAATTTGTCATTTTAGCCATTTTAAGTGGAAAATTCAGGAGCATTAATGACATTTATAATGTTGTACATCCATTACCACTATTCCCAAAACTTTTTCATCATCTCCAACAAAATCTCTGTATATATTACATGAAAATTTCTATATTTTTACTAACAATGTCATTTTTCATATATAATTTCCTGATCTTTTCTTATTTGTCCATGTTTTCAATTAGCTCTTTAATGATATTTAGTAAGTCTCATGTCTGGGCTTCCTCAGGGATGGTTTCTGTAATTTATTGGAATCATAAATAACAATTTATTGTGTTCCTTTGAAGGAACTATGGCTTTGTTTCTTTGTATGTTTCCTGATATTTTGTTGAAAGCTGGACTTTTGAATATTATAATGTAGTAACCTTGTAAATCATATACTCTCCCTTCCTTTGGTTTTGCTATTTTTTTCTGATTGTCGACAACAGTAGTAGTTCACACGTTTAGTAACTTTTAAAAATTATTTTTGAAAGATTGTGTTCTTTATCATGTGTGGTCACTGTAATCTCTGTTCCCTAACTGCTGTTCAGCTAGTTTTAGCAGATTTCCTTCAACAGGAGAGAGCCAGAGAGAGAAATAAAGAGAGAGAGAGAGAGAGAGACTGAGAGAGCACAAAACAGAACACACACACAAGAAACAAACAAACAAACATCACTCTCAATCTTTGCAGATCATCCCTGTGCTAGAGAATTCTTTCAACACTTAGGAGTTGTGCATTGAGCTGAGGGATGAGTGTGATCTGAAAGCTGAGGTTCTTCTCAGGGCATCTCTGAGCATGTGCATGGCTTTCTAAAGTTTCTCTTATACAACCTGCTTTTGAATGCACAGATTTTTCAAAGAAACTCTACCTCACTGTTCCTTCAGGGCCTTACATGGCCTATTGCATGTCTCCACCTAATCTTTTGCTCCATGCATCTGTGGGTTGCTAGTGTTTTTTGAGCAATGCCTACAGCTTTTCAGGCCTCAGTAAATTCCAGATTATGTGACACACAGAGGAGCACCTTGCATCTGTCCTTCAGGTAGCTCCTGGGCAAGTTAGAACAGGCATACACAATAATTTGCTAATAAACTCTGCTCTGCTCTACTCTTTCCAGAATCAGGCACCAATGGCCCTCACTGGGAACCTGGGCTTCTGTTTTCCTGAATGCTGCCAAGTCAAGAAAGGGAGTGGAACAAGGACAAGTAAAAATGTCATAGAGCTTTCCTACCATTTTTAAGCGGTCTTTTTGTTGGCTCAGCATCCCCTTGGTTGCTGTAAGCCTTTGTATGTTTTCTAGAGTTCTTTGAAAGCTTTTCCTGACCAGTTCTGTTTGCTATTTGATGTTTGATGTTTCCGTGGGTGGACAGGAGCTTGGAGCTGCCTGTCTGACAATTTGCTGATGCCATTCCTTTCACTCCTGTCCCTGGGTTATATTTTTTTTACATACTGAGGTATAGATACCATCTTCAGAAAATTAGATTCTGTTGGTTTGAAAGTTAAGGTGGTCTTAAGTGTTACAACAAATAGGGCCCCTAAATTTTATGATTTATTAAAAGAAAATCTTTCTTAGTCATGTAACAGTCCAAGGGTCTAGATCAGAAGGTGGATCTCTACACACGGAGATTCAAGCAGATGCAGGCTCTTTCCTGTATCATCCTGGGGGCTACTTCACCCTCTGGGGCAGTGCTGCCCAAGAGAACTTTCTGCAGTTATGGAAAGTCTATATCCATGCTGTCCAATACAATAGCCACTCATCACAGATGACACTTGAGTGATTGAAGAATGGCTAGTGTGATTGAGGAACCAAATTTGTCCTTTGATTTAAATTTAATTCACTTAAATTTACACAGCCACATGTGGCCAGTAGTTACTGTTTTGGACAACATGGATCTAAGGCCTTTAAATCACCAGCATGATCAAGGCTCGATTGCCATGTCTAGGTTCTAATAAGGTAAGAGGTAGATTGCTTCGTGGAGTCATCGGGCATGTGCAGTTTGAGAGCTGACACACATCACTTCTGCTCAGGTTCCACTAACTCGCTTGGCTCACCAAGTTGCAAAGGAGGCTGGGAAATATTTTCCCTGGCTGTTCTTCCATATCTCCACTGTAACGACTCTGGAAATAGAGAAGGAGGGAACTTTTTGCACAGCTAGCAGAGCAGGCTTGATCACAGTTGCTCTGGTATAAGGCCCAACCATAATTTATTTTTAAAATCTTCCAAAATGATTCAGATATTCAGTTGTGTGAACTAATGTGCCCTTGTTTATTATCTGTTAAATTGGGATAATGACACCTACCTCATGGGGTTCTTGTAAGGAATTGCTGTTACAGAAGTCACATACTGAACTGGCAGCTATTCAACAAATTGCAGCTATTAATTTCCCATTATTGTTGTTACTGATTGTAGTTTCTCAAAAATGGACAGCTTCTTCCTCTATTTCTCTGTTAGGCATTAATATACTTTTAAAAATCACATATTTTCTAGATGCTGCAGTTTTCCAAATTTTTCTTCACATATTCTGATCCTTCTCTCTTTTTACTTTATTATTATTTTAAAGATGGGGTCTTAGTCTGTCACCCAGGCTGGAGTACAGGGGTATGATCATGGCTCATGGCAGCCTCAAAATTCTTGGCTCCTATGATCTTCCTGCTTCAGTCTCCCAAACAGCTGAGACTACAGGCGACTACAGGCACATGCTATCATGACTGGCTTTTTCTTTTCTTTCTTTTCTTTTTTTTTTTTTTTTTTTGGTAGATATGGATGTCTCACTGTCTTTCCCAGACTAGCTCCAACTTCTGGCCTCAAGCAATCCTGCCTCAGCCTCCCAAAATGCTGGGATTACAGGTGTAAGCCACTACACCTGCCTCTTTTTACTTTATTTATTCCCCAATTAAAATGAAATAAAAGACAAAACAGAGAACTCTACTGTATCTAAATATTGAGAAGGCAAAATCCAGTATCTCTGGGCTCTGGGAATGCCTACATGAAGAATATATGTTTTTTCTCTAAGTGATACATAGTCCTAAATGGGGAGCTTGACATTGTCTGATAACCATGCCACAAAATGATGGTCCTATATTTAATGTATGTGCAAAGGACTGTAGGTGGATAGGACTGGGGGCAGAACATTGCTTTCCTGGGTTGATTGACTTTACAAAGGAGGTGACATTTGAGTAGTATTCAGATGGATGAAAAGTCTTGCCAGGCAGAGAAATAAAAGAGAAAAAGACGTTTGAATTCCTACAGCTCTCAGTAGAGTAGCACGCTCTGCTTGTAGTAGATGCTTAAAATTATCTCTTGATAATTAGTGAAGGGATTTCAAAATATCATATATAACGAGCTGCTTAACAACCTAGGCTCTAAAACACATGTGATCCCTAGTCAGACTCCCAGAAAAAAAGCCTCTGTGACACTAGCGAGGCCTCTTTTTAGCACTTCTGAATATTCTCTCTCAGCAGCTTCTAAACATGTCTCCCTCCAACTGGATGCTGAAAGAATGTCACTTCTCAGCAGAATGAAGTTGCCACTAGGTAGAGCTACAGACGCCCAGTCACTTTATACCTCTGGACTGGCAACAAAGAACAATAACTGGAGAGCAGAATTCCAAAATCCAATAGAATGACATTAAAGGCCCTGCTTTAGACTCCAACCTATTTTCCGCAAGCCAAATAACAACACAGTTGAGCGATGGTTTCTGGAAGTCTGCTGGTGTAACAGCTAGGTTAGGCTGTATCGCAGAAAACAACTCAATACAACTTATATAAACGGATTTTCTTCAAAACTAGAGGTTTTTTTTTCTCTATCTTTTCATCTTTCCTCTCTAGTTGCTCAAACAAAATCCAAGAATGAGCACTGTTGACCTGTATTTTCTAAAAGCACTTCTTTTTATCAAAGGGAATATTAGACCTCCTAGCTTTTTTGCATTGGGGCTTTTGTTTTGTTTTCTTTTTGTTTTTACTCTTTAAAGTTTATGTTTTTCCATTCTGGAGATATAGTTCACACCCTTAACAATCATCTTAACCATTTACTGTTAAACATCTACACATAGTATATGCATATATGCTATATATAGTATGTAAGTATTACATCTCTAATTTTAAGAAGACATGTCTATATTTCAGCCTGTAGCTCATAAATAGTATGTTCATTTTTCCTTAAGTGCTTTGCAAAGCTGAAATTATGATTTGGCTTTATAATTGAGAGCACCTGAATCTTATGTTTTATCAAGGTTAATCTGCAAATACTGATAATTTCCTTTTCCACTAGACTCACAAGTATTTTGGGGGCTGACACGCTTTCTTCTTTGTTTCCCTGAGATCATCAACTCAGGAATCAAACTGCTTGGGTTTGATTCCTGCTCTACCAGTTCCTAGCTTCAAAACTTTGGATAATTTCTTCAGCCATTTTGTGCATCTTTTTAAAAATAAAATAGCAGCAACTATTATAGGGCTTTTGTGGGAATTAAAATCAATTAACGAATACACGATATTTAATATAACCCCTGATACCTAGTAAGCACTCAATATTAGCTGTTGTTTTCTGACTATTCTGAGACTCCTAAATTCTCATCACCATAATCCAGGGAGGTGGGTTTTTCGGTAAAAATTGACAATCATATTGCAACTACTACTTACGGTATCCTCTGTTTCTAATGACTGAAGTCAATACACAAATACTCAGTTATAAGCCTTTTAACCTGTATCATTAAAGGCATGTGATAGCTAATTTTATGTGTTAACTTGGCTGGGTGCCGAGTTGTTTGGTCACAGACCAGTCTGGATGTTCTATGAAGTAATTTGCTGAAGCCAATACACAAATACTCAGTTATAAGCTTTTTAACCTCTATCATTAAAGGCATGTGATATAGTTAATTTTATGTATCAACTTGGCTGGACTGTGGTGCCGAGTTGTTTGGTCATATACCAGTCTGGATGTTCTATGAAGGAATGTGTTGAATGTGATTCTTTTTAAATCAGCAGACTTTCAGTAAAGCAGATTACTCTCCATAATATGGATGAATTTCATCCAATCACTTGAAGGCCTTAAGAGCAATGACTAAGGTTTCTCAAAGAAGAAACCACTCTGCCTAATGATTGTAACCCTGTCTGAGTCTCCTCGGTCTGGCTTTCCATGTGAATTTCAGAATCAACATTGCAACATAAACTCTCATCTAAATTTCCAGCCTGCCAGTTTGCCCTATAGATTTAGCATTTACAAGGCCCTCAAATCACATAAGCCACACATGAACCAATATGCAAATGCTCATATATGTTATATTATATATATGCAGATATAGGAATACATGTTTGTGTGTATATACGTATATTCATTGTATTGGGTCTAGTTTTCTGGAGAATGCTGATTAATCAGATTTTGGTACTGAAAGTTATTCTGGGAGAATGGAAACTTAAAGGCGATTTCTCTAAATTACTTTCAGGGTTTTAGGAATTAGTAGTAAAAAAAAGCATTGATAATCCTAGCATGACGTGGCAGCAAATATACACAAAATATCACCATTGGATGCTCCTAATTAAACACTTATAAGAACCCAGGTCTGGCCTGGTGCGGTGGCTCACACCTGTAATCCCAGCACTTTGGGAGGCCGAGGCAGGCAGATCACGAGGTCAGGAGATCGAGACCATCCTGGCTAACACAGTGAAACCGTGTCTCTACTAAAAATACAAAAAATTAGCCAGGCGTGGTTGCAGGCATCTGTAGTCCCAGCTACTTGGGAGGCTGAGGCAGAAGAATGGCATGAACTCAGGAGATGGAGCTTGCAGTGAGCCAAGATCACACCACTGCACTCCAGCCTGGATGACAGAGTGAGACTCTGTCTCAAAAAAAACACACAAAAAAACCAAAAACCAAAAAAACAAAAAACCCAGGTCTTGGTGATTGGTGATCATGTATTTGATATCTCAGAACATTTTTGTCAAACAAATAAGCGTGATGAGTGAGATTGGCTGGTTGCCCTAATGTCAATGGACAAAGTGGAGAAACAAAAGGATAAGTTCGGGGACATAAATTCTCAGATCAAGAGCTGCATAAAAGATTTGAAAGTCTCCATGTTTGCCCTTAAAAAAACTTTTATGTTCTGTAGCAGCAGAGCTGAAATTGCTGCTGAAAACCAAACCAGAGTCTTTTCCTCCAAGTGGTTGACTTACAACACTAAATGAATTTCCCAACCATGTCGGGTGTCTGCTTTAAAGTGAAGGCATTAATTGGGAAGAAACAAGACCCTGAAATTTGGAATAGAGACATATGAGAAGATTCTGATTAAGGTGAGGACACTGAACCCCTAAAATTCGAGTGAAAGTTTTTTCCTGGTAGAAGCAGCCCTTCCACCCTGTCTGGAGATGTTCACCCTGCTTTACCCAAGAAAACTGTAATGGTTTCCCCTGAGGTATTTGCCTTTCAAAATACTACCGATTCTTTTCACAACCCTACTTCTGCTTCCCTTCTTTACTTCTAGACCCATAACTAGACTCAAGTACAAAGTATGAACTATGAATAGATATGCAACACTCCAAAAGAACTACATGATTGTTCAGTTTATACAAACAAAAATCCATAGAATATATGTAAGCATGGATATAAGGGTGTGGTATAATGGAAGAAACATAAATTAGATCAGGCCTAATGTATTGACATGGGCCTACCAAGCAGAAATTTTAGATTCAACCTTGTAGCTCATGGGGTTAGAAAAGGTTCCAACTGTTTGATTAGTTGGCTGAAACACAAACGAAAAGGTGGCCTGCATTAAATAAAGCTGAATGCCAGAGAGGCCTTGGTATACCATAGAGGAAGGTACCCAAAGGCTTAGGGAGACTGGAATGTTAGAGAGAGGATTTATTGTGTGAGACCTGCTCACCCACCCTAGGAGAGGCGGCAGGGTACACCCTTTCCCAGGGCTGTAACAGCTACACTTGGAAGGAGATCCTCAGTGTCCTTAAAGGACCCCATGCACCTTCTCTGATCCCTTGGGTTCTATTTTTCTGTAGGCCCTTGACTAATGCAACACATGATTAAACTTTAGTCCTAATGCCAATGAACTCAAGATAAAAGATCTGGAGACAAAGATTTGTGTTTCGGGCCCAGTTTTGCCAATACTGACTGTGTGACCCTCAATCGGTCCTCCTTACTGTGCCCCAGATGTGTTCTCATCTGAACATTGAAGATGAAAATGTATGACTAGTATGATTCTATGGAGCAAATTGAAAAGATATGCTAAGTAACCTGAGAAGTGCTCTTAATGAATGCAGTTAAGTTCAGGAAAACTACCTGTTTCACCTTACTTGAACATTGGTATCTAATTCTCATTTCATGATGTTCATGTTGGGTCATTCCAATAGGTTTTTGAGGCACTTTATGGATTTATAATTCAATAAATGTATATTGGGCAATTGTTTAAATAAATAGAGTCATGGTCTAGGCCAACACTGTACAACAGAAATATAATGAGAGCTACATTTAAAAAGTGAAAAGAAACTGCTGAAATTAGTTATAACAATATAGCTTACTTAACCCAATGTCTCCAAAATATTATCAATTCAAAGCTAATAATATAAGATGGTATTGAAGAGATAATTTACATCATTTTTTATAAGATCTCCACAAAATACAGTGCTTATTTTTATTTACAGCAGATCTTAATTTGGAGGAGCCTCATTTCATATGCTCAATAGCTACATGTGGCTGTTGGCTCCTGTATTGGCCAATGGTTAGGTGTGGGCTATTCCATTGGAAAATCCCATTGTCCCTTACTCTGCACCAGTGTACCCCACCTGTCATTTAGGCAAAATAAGATATAAATGTGGTTCCAAATTTCACAGAATATTACTAATTGTTTGTCCTATCATGAGGGACGATAAGGGACTATATTCAAATATTACTGTTGTTTTTATCACTTCTGAGTTATAAGGAAAGAGAGACACATTTCTCTCCTTTTCTTTCTTCTCTAAATTACATACTGGACTTAATCCTCTACATCACTTGCCTAAATAATTGTGTCACTCCTTTTTAAAAATGCTGCAATTACTATGAAATAGTCGATTAAACTGTAATTTGATTTTAGATTTAACATGCAGCCTAGAGAATAATTCTTGGTAATGGCCTCTTTTTCTGATCATATGCTTTCAGTTACAAAAAACAGCTATGCAATATCTGTACCATCACACATAAGTGACTCTAGTAACTGTTGATGGGGGTGTTGAAGTTCATCAAATAGAAAAGTAATCTTTGCATGTCCAATTTTAGCAAAGAACTGTTTCTGGAGAATGATGCAACATTAGGACAGTGCAGAAACTATCAATAAAAAGAACTTTCCCCCAGGCCTTGATAATTGAAATGAGGTAGCTGACAGTGTCCTCATTGTTTCTGAGCTTTCTTAAAGAGTTCACGGCCATAGCCAAAGGATACCTAAGTATAGGATTTTTTTTTTTAGCTTTATTCATGATTTGGAACTAAGGGGACAAAGGTAGTAAACATGGTGCTAGGACTTAACCGGAAAGAACCAAAGGGAAACCAGCCATTTCCTAATTCACTGGTTTACTTACCAGGTGTTTTGATAGGTATTTACTATATGTAAGCCAGCATTCCACAAAGGGAAAATGGAAGTTAGAAAATATGGTGTAGTAACATTGTTCATGGAACCTAAAATCTCATAAGGTTAAAAAGAATTGACACAAATAACTACAGTGCAAAGCACTACAAGAACCGTGTCAATAAGAACTAGGTTGTTCAGAGGAAGAAAAGATCACTGCGTGACGTCATAACCAGAGGGGACTTCAAAAAGGAGGGGCCATGTGAAATGGGTTGTTTAAGAACAGCAGAAGTGAAGAGGAGGAAGAACGATATGGGAAATTGAACGTGAGGAAGAGTTGGAGGAGAGGTTTCAACTATTCTAATTTTCAGGAAGTCTTAACACTCTTTTGTTGTTATTGTTTTTTTTTTTTTTTTTTTTTTTTTTGAGACAGGCTCTCACTGTCACCCAGAATGGAGTGCAGTGACCTGATCATGGCTCACTGTAGCCTCAACCTTCCCAGGCTCGGGTGATTCTCCCACCTTAGCCTCCTGAGTAGCTGGGATCACAGGTGTGCACTCCACCCAACTTTTTTTTTGGTAGAGACAGGGTTTTGCCATATTGCCAAGCCTGGTCTCAAACTCCTGGGCTTGAAGGATCTGCCTGCCTTTGCCTTCCAAAAAGTGGTGGGATTACAGAAACGAGCCACCAGGCCCAGCCACCGATCTTGAATAAAATGCTTTTCATAACTGTTTGACATGTATCGAATTTATGGCATAGAACATATTTTATTCTTTTAAAGAAAACCTTGGCTCCTTTCCATAAAAAACATAAATAATAAAAAAGGGGGCAAAAATTGGAAAATGGAAGTTTCTCTTTGAGTAATGGGTTTACCTAGAAGAGCAGGCTTATAAGCAAATTAAAAGATAGAGTGGGATGTTTGAATATCAGGCTAGGAGATTTGAGCCTCATGTGGCTAAGTGAGACTGTGACTCCAGGCAGGTAGGTGGCTTTGGGAGGCTTGTTTTATGCCACAATCAAAGATTGATTTAGGAAAATTGTACCTAGTAGTGGCATTTATAATGAAGAAGACTGCTGGCAGCAAGATTATTAAGAGTTTACTTCAGTGGACTAAGAATAAATAAATAGGGACCTGGACTAAGTTGGTAACAATAGGAAGAGAGGAAACAAGGGCAGGTGAGAAGGACTGTGCGAGGAAAATGTGACTGTGTGTAAATGCAAGCACTGAGAGAGAGGTGACTGAGGTTTCAAGCCAGGAGATTGAAACACCAATACTAGAAATACAAAAGTCTTCAAATCAGTCATGTATAGTCATCCCTCGGTATCCCTAGGGCATTGGTTTCAGGAGCCCCCTGCTAATACCAAAATCCAAGGATGCTCAAGTGCCTGATATGAAATGGTATAGTATTTGTATATGATGTACACATGTCCTTTCGTATACTTTATCTTTAGATTACTTATAAAACCTAGTACAGCATTCATGCTAAGTAAATAGTTGTTGTGCTACATTGTTTAGGAAATGATAACAGGAAAAAAAAGTCTGAAAAGGCTCAGTACAAACACAACCATCCATTTAAAAAAAAAAAATTTCGATCCATAGTTGGTTGAATTCACGAACACAGAACCCATGGAAACAGAAGGTCCACTATGTATTGAAATTAGGATGCTCAAAACTACCCAGAGGGAAGGCTATTAGGTTAAAAAATGCCCCCCTCCCAAAAGATATTCACATCTTAATGTGAACGTGGGTGTTAGCTTATGTGGAAAAAAAAAAGAAAAAGAAAAGAAAAAAAGAAAAGAAAATGTTTGCGAATGTGATTAAGTTAAAAATTTTGATCCAGAAGCTTATCCTGGATGATCGGCATGGACCCTTATGTATCCTTATAAGACAGAGGCAGACGCAGATGGCACACAAACAGAAGAGAGGAGTGGGGGAGACCCCCTCAGCAGACAGAGAGCCATTTAAAGATCCTTTACTTCTGGCCAAGAAGATGGAAGAAGGGGCCATGAGACCAAAATACAGGCGGCCACTACTCACCGGAACAGGAATGCAAGGCTGCTCTTGACGCTGGAAAAGCCAAAGCTAGGGATTTTCCTCCGGTGTCTTCAGAAGGAGGCTTAGCCCAGAGAAGCAGACCAGGTTTCTGGACTCTAGAACTGCAACAGAATACATTTGTAATTTTTTTTAAGCTACCAAATTACTGGTAATTTTTTCAGGAGTCCTAGGAAATGAACACTATAAAACATCCCCAGAATGCTGGAAATGTGGAGCTGGAGCCGAGAAGAGAAGCTGAGGTTAAAGAAACAGTGGAAGGTGTGGAGTTGGAGAGAGCTGTGGCAAGTGGCCTGCAGGAATAGAGAGGAGAGAAGAAAAAAAGAAAAAGCTTTACATGCTGTCCACATTAGGGATCAGCAGAATACAAAAGAGAGCCCAGCAAAGGAGACAAGAAGTAGATGTTGGAGACAAGAGGAAAAGACAAGAGGAAGGTGAGATTTTAATGAAGGGTGAGATTATCAAGGTTTAAAAACAAAACAAAGGAAAAAACCAGAAAAACTTTTAAAGAATTCCAGACAGGGAAAATGGAGCAGTGTACATTCCTAGGAGAGGTAACACAGTACCCTTCCTAATAGCTAAAGCTAGTGAGACCATCTCCACTTTTGGGAAGAACCAATGCCCAATCACTACTGCCTGGATGTGAGCAACAGCCTCAAAGGGCTACAGAGCACTCTGCTCCTTTTAGTTGCCAAATATCAGAACGCTTGATACAGATTCATCAACACAAGAAGAGAAATTTTTAAGTAAAATTCTTGCTATGCTGGCAATCAATATTTAGTGAATCTGAGCTCACTTTCAGTGTGTTTATAAAAGTGGAATTTGTAAAATGAAACAGATTCAGTACACCTAAATGTTTTTCCTTATTTATTCCCTAACTGTTCCAGGTTAAATTTTTCACTCTATAAATTTTTGGAATGTGCAACAGCCAACTTTATATCTAGCTAAAGGTAATCCAAAAATGACATATATATGTAATTTGTTTTAAACAAGGAATTTGTGTTTTTTTAATCTGTGAACATATTACTATGATGATGGTTAGGGTACCCAAACTGGCATCCCAAATCTCAGAATAGATATTATAAGATGAAACAACATTGATGTTAGCTCATGGCTGGGTTCCTGTGAGCACTGAGCCCTAAGTTTAAATCTCTCTGATCCTTGATGGAAACTCTATAAGCTCTAAGCTCAGTCCACCTCTAGACCTTAGAGGATAAAGGAGTTGATTCAGAACCATGCAAAACACCCACTGCAAAATGTCAAGTTCTAAGAGAGAAAATCTTGTAATAAATGTATCAAATATGTGGGAACTCACAGGGTCTCTGGCTGCGGTGATTTCACTGATAATCTGGAGCAGGCTACAGGGCAACAGAACAGCTGATGGGCAGGCTATTGAGAGGTGAAGCCAGCTGGACTTTCTGGTTCGAGTGGGGACTTGGATAACTTTTCTGTCTAGCTAAAGGATTGTAAACGCACCAATCAGCACTCTGTGTTTAGCTAAAGGATTGTAAACGCACCAATCAGCACTCTGTAAAAACGTACCAATCAGCACTCTGTAAAAACGTACCAATCAGCACTCTGTAAAAAGGACCAATCAGTGCTCTGTAAAATGGACCAATCAGCCAGATGTGGGTGGGGCCAAATAAGGGAATAAAAGTTTGCCATCTGAGCCAGCAGCGGCAACCCGTTGGGTCCGTTTCCATGCTGTGGAAGCTTTCTTCTTTCACTCTTCACAATAAATCTTGCTGCTGCTCACTCCTTGGGTCTGCACTACCTTTATGAGCTGGAACACTTACCACGATGGTCTGTGGTTTTGCTCCTAAAATAAGGGAGACTACGAACCCACTGGAAGGAAGAAACTGTGGACACATCTGAAGGAACAAACTCTGGACACACCATCTTTAAGAACTGTAACACTCACTGCTAGGGTCTGCGGCTTCATTCTTGAAGTCAGCGAGACCAAGAACCCACTGGAAGGAACCAATTCTGGACACACCACGGCTATCAGACTGTTCTCAGCCTGGGGTGGGTATGAAGTGCATTCCGCATTTTCCTTCACAGGAGTTCCTAGAGTATTTTTCTTCCAGCTCAGACTGAGATCCTGGCTTGCATATAGTCTTAAGAAGTAAGGAAAAGAATAAGGGATTCTACGTGACAGAATAAAATTAGTGATTAGGAAGTAACCAGGACTGCTGGCTAAGCAGTGATGTTTATGTAAGTAGGAGGTAGCTGTACTGGTTGTTCTGTTTGTCTTTCTGCCTCTCTGTTCTTGACTCTGTTCTCCCTGCTCTGTGCCCTGTGAGACTGAACCCGCTCTACCTTGTCACCCAGGCTCTCCTGCTAATTGGTGACTGGGGATCAGGGGGCAGGAGAAAAGTGGGCATGAGAAGCAGGGGGCGCCTTCCCCGCAAGTCCTCTGCATTGAGTCTGTCTCTTCCTGCAGCTGGGCCTTCCTTGACTACAGCCGCTGCTGGGCAGAACTTACTCTGAGCTTCGGTTCCCACTGGGCTCCAGGGGCACTGTCCTCACCTCCCAGTGCTTCAGCCCAACGGACATTAATTGCTGGCCTCCGGTTCCTCAACATCCTTTGTTTCTTCCTGAACCTACACACACTTCTATAACTAGAGGTTTCATTAGCTTCTTTTCATTTTAGCCCTCTAGGATGAATTCTATGTACCGCTAGGCACAGATGATCTCATGGATCAAGGGGTACTATTCAGTCTCCATCCTCAAGCAGCCCAGCAAAGAGAACTTTGGAATTCCCACAACAATGTTCCTTCTTCCCTAACTCCTAAAAGGAAGATATTCTTTCATGCTTAAGCAAAGTTACTCCTAGCTATGTGATGAAAGAGGAGAGAGAAAGGGAATAAGTTAGGGAGGGAAGAAAATTTCTGGTTTGCAGTTTGACTTGTGAAGCAAAATACTTTGAAACAGTACAGGGTATGGTAGGAGTGAGTGGGCAAAGGAATGTTTTTAAGGCTTTTTGTAGACTCTGAAGCTAGACACTCTACATGAATTTTTAGAAAACCACACGAGTTTTCGCTTATTTATGTTGTTGATTTGTTTCTTTTTTGAACCATGCTTATATTACATGGGTTCTGAATAGATAAGGGTTTCGTTTGGGATAATGACATCTTTCTCCCTCTATAGAAGCAAAGATTTTTCTGAATAAAATTAGGTTCCTCAAAGCCCCTCCCTCATCAACTCTCTATCCAGAAGTCCTCAAAGAAAAGATTCTATATTTGTTGTGGCTGTAGCAACTTACATGTCCTTATCATAACCCTTTCCAAATGAAGCATATGATGGTGCAGTGGATCTGCTCTATTCTAGGGTAGTTCATGGGCTTTGAATGCCAAGCTTGCAGTACCGATTTAGCAGGAATGCCATGACATTTAGCTGACAAAAGCTGAAGAAATTCACATCATTAGTCATCTCTTCCAGCATCACCTTAGGTTTAATTTCAGTCTCATCCATCACTCAATGCTTTCTTTGCTTCTCGATTTTTGACATCTGTCAGGAGGGACCTTATTCATTCACTTTTCTAGGCAGTTATTTCCTAAGCTTTCGCCATTATGGCCTCATTCTTCTAGGACTTTGGATGGCATCCTATAATTATCAACATCTGATTACCAATAATTTGTTGCTATTTCTTAATGCTTTTTTATTTTTTCTTTGTGCATGCATTTCTCCTATTGCTATTTAGTTTATGTTACAAGCAAAACTTTGGAGCTGAAAATAGCATTAAATCTCATATGCAAATCCACCCATTTACCCTCTTCAGTTATCATCAGAGAAACCCAGCATCAGACTAGTTAAATGACTTTCCCAAGATAAAACAGCAAATTATTGGAAAACCTAGTGCTAGAACCTAGTCTTTCTATGTCCCAGACCAGGATAAAGACAATTCTCTGACATAGAATATTTTTTCACTTATTTTAGAGTTTTATTTATTATACCTGCATTTATTCCTTTAAAAGTGCAAACAACAAGACAAAAATGTGGATAGCAAACCTCTGGTAGGTTTTTTTTTTTTTTTGTATTCAGAGCACATACTTTGATCTTTTCATTTGCTATGAACTGTATTTAGAGTAAAAAGTAAACAGGTTGCCACATTTTGTCTCACCCATCTCAAACAGAAGTCACAGATCAAGTAAGTGATGGATTTGGGAACCAGAACAGACAGGATATCTGAAACATGTACTGAGAATTCTGGTAAACAAGTCAGTCTGTAGAAATGTATTGTGTAGCTATGAAAAGGGTGGCCAGTGCAATAAGTGCACAACTCTGTACTGGAGATGGAGATAGGAGAGGTTTGCAACAGTTCCTGTCTTTCAGGAGATTGGAGTATAAAGAACCACCACAACAATGTTTGTTATACCAATTTGAGAGCCAAAGAGCAAAAAGGCATGCACACACACACACACACACACGTGCACCTGCATACACAACCTATGTAAATGAATGTATGTGAGTGGTAATAATATTTTTCTTAAAGAAAATGAGCTATTCTGTTTATATCATAAAGAGAGATTAAAGGGAAACAAATAATATTTAAGGTATCTAGCTGTGGATGTATTATAAATACATAGAAAGGTAAACATAGACTCATGATTATTGCCATCTTCTTTGTGAGCTTCTATTGACCTAGTCCTGGGCCTGAATTTTTTTACTCTCCTCTCCACCCCCTATACTCAGAGCATCATTCTTCAGGTTCTGATCCCAGTGTTTTGATAATGGCTGAAGATGGCAATAAATTTTAACTTCCAAACGCCTACCTGGATTTTCTTTATGAGATCTTACTGAATAATAAAGAGAGACATAGAACAGGCTTTTGTCAAGACACTTACCTGTTATGCTACTATCTGAGGGTAATTCCATCCAAAAGACAGACGATGGCAGGAATTCCAAAGGACTAAGCCCTGGTATTATTCCCACACATTTTTCTTGCCTCCTGCTCAATCCTTACAAATGGTTCATTTGCAAGGCTCTCCCTGGGTTGTACTAGTGAAGTCACTTCTTTTATTCTCTCTGCATCCACCGTCTACCCTTCCAACCCTCCGTTTATTCAGGAAGGCTCACTGGACAGACTGCATCATTGAGATCCCTTGCCTTCTGGTTTCTAGGTGGTCCAACCTATGGGAAGTTAGTAGAAGACTAACTAAGGGGAGAAGATCAGAGGGAAGAAAATGAGTGAGGCTAGGATCAATATTTCCTTAGGTCCATCCCTGAAGAGTTGCCTTGGGCTGATGAGCCCTTTGATGAAGGTGATTGCTCTTCTCAACATGGTTCTCTTTATAAACTCTCTTCATAACCTTTCCAATAACTGCTCCCTTCTCTCAGCCCCTTGAGACTAAGAGTGGTTACATTTCCACCAACACTAGTTTCAAGCTACTGCACTATCTCTTGAAGTATACCTACTTCCTGCTCACACTATTGTAAAAGGTGCCTTACTAAACCTACCTCAAATTACCCCAGAGTATGTTATCTGTATCTTGCTAGGGCCCTGACAAATACACTTATCTTAAACGATGTAGTCTCCATACCAAAAGGTCGTTGCTTCTCTTATTTTGTAGCTTTGACGATTCCTCAGGAAGTTTAGAGAGCTACTTTATGCTGATGGCTGGGAGAGTCTGTGACTTACTTCTGTTTGGGTTCCCCTGGGGGAGAAATAACTCTGTAAACAACCACCACAGGACCACTCTAGTGCACTATCAATCTAAACCTTTGCAGGCAAATGAGTGATAAGCCAATTTTAGAAAGTGCTGAATCTTATGTTTAAAAGGTGAGTGAGTAGATGCAGACAAACTATAAGAATATGTTTCTATTTTCTTATAGAGTTTAGTTGGTTTAGAGGTTTAAAGGCAAGTCTTTAGAAATCACTCCCTTAATAAGTCAGTAGAACTATCTTGTTGACAGAGGTTTAGTGACATCTTGAGTAATGAGGAACCTATAAAAGCTGACTGGTCCATCTCTTCTGACAATGTGCTTAAGGGAGTTCTGAGAATTCTGCACCATCCTTCCATTTTGGCTATTTGCTTGACGGTGATAGGGCAGGATGGCAATGGGATTTAGCTACAGGTTCCTTAAAATGAGCTAAAGTAAATAAAGTCCCACTACTGGAAATAAGGGATAATGGTGAGGCTTTTATTTCAATTGCCGCCACTGGTGGACTGAGTAACTCTTTGTGGAAGAGTCTATCAAAGGTAGAGATGTTCCTCCTCTGAAAGAATCCTAAGAAAATGAATATGGTGTCTTGGCTAGGTTTTCTGATTATTTATCTTGATAGAAATGATGGCAGAATAGCCAATTAAGTCAGCATGTGGTACAATTTTTTATATGCTTTTCAATTAGGAAATTTATTTTAACCCACCAACATTTTTAGTACCCAGGAAACTTATGGAAGGAATTCCATCATGAATCATTATGGGCAGAATTACATGATAACTACTTTCTAGAATAATAGCATTTTTGGATGGGGTACAGTGGCTCATGTCTGTAATCCCAGCACTTTGGGAGGCCAAGGTGGGCGAATCGCTTGAGGTCAGGAGTTGGAGACCAGTCTGGCCAACATGGTGAAACACAGTCGCTACTAAAAATACAAAAATTAGCTGGGCATGGTGTTGGGTGCCTGTAATCCTACTTGGGAGGCTGAGGCAGGAGAATAACCTGAACCCAGGAGGTGGAGTTGCAGTGAGCTGAGATCACGCCACTGTTCTCCAGACTGGGCGGCAGAGTGAGACTCCATCTCAAAAATTAAAAAATAAAAAATAAAATACTAGCACTTCAAAAATAAATCAAGGCACTCTATTTGTGGATAGGCACTGTTGACATTTGGGTGGCTTGAATGAAATGTTGGATACCTCGTCTACAAACAACACAATACACAAATCGGTGAAAATCCATACAATTTAATTTGATTATCTGAAGAAGATCAGGGAGTTCTTCTACATCAATATTTCCAGTGGGCAATTTGAAGAGACAAACAATCTCAAATATGAGCATTTCACATTGCTCCCTTGAATTCCAGGAAAGTTTTTATTTTGCCATTAAATGTAAGAAGCCAGGGCTGGGCGCGGTGACTCATGCCTGTAATCCTAGCACTTTGGGAGGCCAACGCAGGCGGATCACGAGGTCAGGAGATTGGGACCAACCTGGCAAACAGGGTGAAACCCTGTCTCTACTAAAAATACAAAATACAAAAAAAATCAGCCTGGCATGGTGGCGGGCGCCTGTGGTCCCAGCTACTCTGGAGGCTGACGCAGGAGAATGCCGTGAACCCGGGAGGCGGAGCTTGCAGAGAGCCGGAGATCACGCCACTGCACTCCAGCCTGGGCTACAGAGCAAGACTCCGTCTCAAAAAAAACCAAAACAAAACAAAACAAAAAAAACACCCAGTTTTTCCATGGAGTGATAGAATTTAATTGATGAGCTTGACGAGCTTAATTACAGAAGGGAGAGCTCCAAAATACATGTGAGTACTAAGGATTATGACATCAAGGCTGTAGATTTGATGATGGAAATGTTCAGTTTCATTATTTTAAAAAGGAATCATTTGTGGTGGGCATGGTGTGTGTGTGTGTGTGTGTATGTGTGTGAATGGATACCTTTATCCACTCATCCTTGATGGACACCGGTTGATTCCCTGTCTTGGCTATTGTGAATAGTGCTACAGTGAGCATGGGAGTGAGAGGTGGCAGCATGCTGGCTGTCCTCACAGCCCTTGCTCGCTCTCGGCGCCTCCTCTGCCTGGGCTCCCAGTTTGGCGGCACTTGAGGAGCCCTTCAGCCCACCGCTGCACTGGGAGCCCCTTTCTGGGCTGGCCAAGGCCTGAGCCGGCTCCCTCAGCTTGCAGGGAGGTGTGGAGGGAGAGGCGCGAGCGGGAACCCGGGCTGCGCGCGGCGCTTGCTGGCCAGCTGGAGTTCCGGGTGGGCGTGGGCTTGGCGGGCCCCGCACTTGGAGCAGCCGGCCGGCCCTGCCGGCCCCGGGCAATGAGGGGCTTAGCACCCGGGCCAGCGGCTGCAGAGGGTGTACTGGGTCCCCCAGCAGTGCCGGCCCACCGGCGCTGCGCTCGATTTCTCGCCGGGCCTCAGCTGCCTTCCCGCCGGGCAGGGCTCGGGACCTGCAGCCCGCCATGCCTGAGCCTCCCACCCGCTCCGTGGGCTCCTGTGCCTCCGGAGCTTCCCAGACGAGCGCCGCCCCCTGCTCCGGGGCCCAGTCCCATCGACCACCCAAGGGCTGAGGAGTGCGGGCGCACGGGGCGGGGCTGGCAGGCAGCTCCACCTGCAGCCCCGGTGCGGGATCCACTGGGTGAAGCCAGCTGGGCTCCTGAGTCTGGTGGAGACGTGAGGAACCTTTATGTCTAGCTCAGGGATTGTAAATACACCAGTCGGCACTCTGTATCTAGCTCAAGGTTTGTAAACACACCAATCAGCCCCCTGTGTCTAGCTCAGGGTTTGTGAATGCACCAATCGACACTCTGTATCTAGCTACTCTGGTGGGGCCTTGGAGAACCTTTGTATCTAGCTCAGGGATTGTAAACGCACCAATCAGCGCCCTGTCAAAACAGACCACTGGGCTCTACCAATCAGCAGGATGTGGGTAGGGCCAGATAAGAGACTAAAAGCAGGCTGCCCTAGCCAGCAGTGGGAACCCGCTGGAGTCCCTTTCCACAGTGTGGAAGCTTTGTTCTTTCGCTCTTTGCAATAAATCCTGCTGCTGCTCACTCTTTGGGTCCACACTGCCTTTATGAGCTGTAACACTCACCATGAAGGTCTGCAGCTTCACTCGTGCCTGAGCCAGCGAGAGCAGGAACCCACCAGAAGGAAGAAACTCCAAACACATCCGAACATCAGAAGGAACAAACTCCAGATGCGCCACCTTAAGAGCTGTAACACTCACCACGAGGGTCCGGGGCTTCGTTCTTGAAGTCAGTGAGACCAAGAACCCACCAATTCTGGACACAGGAGCACAGGTGTCTTTTCAAGATTCTGATTTCATTTCCTTTGGATGTATACCCAGCAGTGGGATTTGTGTTCATAAGGTAATTCTATTTTTAGTTTTTGGAGGAACCTGCATATTGTTTTCCATAATGGCTGTGCAAATTTACATTCTCACCAACAGTGTATAAAAGTTTCCCTTTCTCCACACCCTAACACTTGTTACCCTTTGTCTTTTTGGTGATAGCCTTTCCAGCAAGTATGAGGTGACATCACATTTTAGTTTTAATTTGCATTTCTCTGATGATAGTGATGTTGAGCATCTTTTTATATACCTATTAGCCATTTGTATGTCTTCTTTTGAGAAATAACTATTTAGAGCAATCTTTTAACCAGAAGTGCAGTGATGTTCTCTTTGTGAGGTCAGTATTTCTGAGCAGTGGGAGAATGGGAAGAACATTCTAATCATTGAAGGTAGAAATAATACATTTCTGCTGAGAAACAAAGCTAAAATATATATTCCCTGATGTATGGAAACATAGATAAATGACTATTTTTCTTTAACAAAACTGTCTTCCGTGCTCTCTTGTATCGCTCCTTCTCAATAGCCGTGGTTCAGGTAGACGCTGATCTGTTGATCTTCCTTTCACATTCCCTCCCTGATCACCCATGAGGCTCCAAGCTCTTCTCCATTTGTTGTGTTTACTTAACCAAAAGCAACAAGGTACTTAGCAGTAGAAAATGTCCTAGCATTTATTAGTATCCCTTCTCTTTGGGGAGAATTATGCTCTTAAATTGCATTTTGACCTCTTTAACATATGAACAGCTTTTTCTTTTTTAAAATAAATGAATATTTGGCCTTGTGAAAGAAAAACATAACAGAAATGAAATGGCCTCAGAAACACATGCAGTCATTGGTTTCTCTGCATAATAGATATATCTAGAATTAGCAGAGTGAGTACCTACAGCGCTAATTGATGTGAAATCCAAGGAAAGGACAATAGGATTTTTAATTCTAGGGTTTTTCAGTTGGGAGTCTAGGCCATGGAAATAGTGTAGAATTGAGTAATATCACACAAGTATTTCCACTTGCCTCCCAACTAGAATATGATCATAATCAGAGAACCAAGACAGCAGTCATAGATGCACTAAGGAACCCTAAGAAAAAAATGGGGATTTGATTGGGAATGTGGTTCCATATTAGGTGCTTACTTGGAAATGCTCAATGATTAATTATTATAAGTTTGGACGAGGTCAAGTTTAGCCAAGAACTTCCTCTTAGGAAGAAGAGGAAGGTGTTGGATATGGAAGGTATTTCAAAGAGACGTCTGTTGCTGGGAATCTTACTTTGCCAGTCTTTATAGTGTGTATGTGTGTGTGTTTAAATTAGTTGTTACTCAAATGTTGACGTTCATTTTTTGAAACCTAAGTTATTCAGAAAAAGTACCAAGAAGAGAGCAAAAAGAGAAAATCATCTCAAGTCCCACAACTCAGAATAGTCACTGGTGGTATTGCATAAACACATGTCTACATCACCTATCTGTGCATCTGTGCATATTTAAAAGTGGAAGCATAGCTAGCTTGATAGATAAATAAATAGAAAAAAATTAAATTTTATTGGACTATATATATTTCTTTTAGTAAAAATCTGTTGCATTTAATTTTACTTGAAACTGGCAGAAAAAATAGTGCTCGATTTTTATAGAAGAAAAATAAATTGATAGGGCATTACAAACAACACTAAACTTCAGATAAATACTTATTTTTCAAAAAGGGTATTTATTTTTAAGCAATCTATTTAAGGTGCAATATAGTTTAATGAAAAGATATTATAAAACCATATTTCACATTTGTCTGACACCCTCAACTAATGTAAGTTATGTCTTGCTCATGTTTTTAATCTACGACCTAGAATAGCGTTTCTCAAACTTTTTGGTCTTTGCACCCCTTTACACTCTTGAAAATTATTGAGAACGAGAGAGAGCTTTTGTTTATACTGCTTATATCTTACTATATTTACCATATCAGAAGCTTACACAGAACACTTTCTATATATATATTTATATATATATTTATATATTTATATATATATTTATATATTATATATTTTTATATATTATATTATATGTTATATATAACATATATTTATACATATACATTTATATATATTTATATATTTATATTTATATATATTTATATATTTATATTTTTATATATTTTTATATATTTATATTTATATATGTTTATATATATATATTTATATATGTTTATATATATATATTTATATATATTTACATATATTTACATATATATTTATATATATTTATATTTATATATATTTATATTTATATTTATATATATTTATATATATATTCATGGACTAATGACAATAAAGCCTATAACATGTTAGCGTAAATATTTTATTTTTTAAACCTATATTTTTCAAAACAAAAAGAAAATTAATTTAAAGAATGGCATTGCTTTACATTTTTTCAAATCTCTTTAATGCTGCCTTAATAAAATGGAGGTGGATTCTCTCATCTCTGAATTCAGTCTGTTTCAATGTGTTGTTCTGGTGGAAGTATAGGAAGAAAATCCATCTTTCCCCAGATATGTACTTGCAAAAGAGCTGTATTATAATACCTTTTCAGATAATTAGCATTCCTCTTTGATACCATACAAAAGTGTGACAAGTGGGAATTTCTTAAAGGTGGTTGCAGTGTGGAATCTAAAAACAATGAACTTTTTCTCCTGTGACATTAAAAGTAGGTCTGTCTTGCACTTTGAATGGATCTTTTCTCATGCTTGATTTTGTGTTATCAAGCAGGGCTTATTTGGAATGATTGTTCACTGAATTATATCGTATCTTCTCAATGTCGACACATTTCACTATATAATGTCATTGTATTAGTCTGTTATCATGCTGCTAATAAAGACATATCCAAGACAGGGTAATTTATAAAGAAGAGAGATGTAATTGACTCACAGTTCCACATGGCTAGAGAGGCCTCACAATCATGGTGGAAGGCGAAGCAGGAGCAAAGGCACCTCTTACCTGGCTGTAGGCAAGAGAAAGAGCATATGCAGGGGAACTCCCCTTTATAAAACCATCAGACCTTGTGAGACTTACTCACTATTACAAGAACAGCATGAGAAAGACGTGCCCCCGTGACTCAATTACCTCCCACTGTGTCCCTCCCACAACACGTGGGAATTATGAGAGCTACAATTCCAAATAAGATTTGGGTGGGGACCCAGCCAAACCATAACAGCCATCAAATCATATTTGTTATTATCACCACTGATTTAAACAGAAAAGTCTTTTAATATTGAAAATGTGACAAGCTCATGGTGGCAAACGCAAATTTTCCTAAATTTTAATTTTCACATAAAAGTTTGCATTATATCACTTGCAACAAAGATTGCCAGCTATTTTCTTTAAAGCAACGGTTTTACTTTGGTTATTTGTAAGAAAGTGTTGGCCAAATACCCAAGTTTGAAAAACCATAGTTTCTGTGTTCATAATTTTTCAAGTGAAAGTGGTGTTTCATGAAAAATTCAGCTAGTTCAGCTTGCAATTCGAACAATCACAGCTTTTTGATTGTTTTCTCAGGATACTCTTCCTACTTTCATACCTCCCACTTCATCAGACAGAATAATGACAAAATTCTATGTAAAGGTTGAAACTTATTATAATTAATATTTATTGCCTCACTCAAGATATGAATAAAACTGGACTTATTTTATTTAAATAAAGACAGAGTCCTTAGTCACCCAGGCTAGAGTGCAGTGGTGTGATCATAGCTCACTGCAGGCTCCAACTCCTGGGCTCTAAGGATCGTCCCACCTCAGTCTCCACCTCAGCTGGGACTACAGGCATGCACCACCATGCCAAACCTTTTTATTTTATTCTGTTATAGAAGTGAGGTCTCCTTATCTTGCCCATGCTGGTCTCTTAACTCCTGGGTTCAAGAAATCTTTCCACCTCAGCCTCCCAGAGTGCTGGGATTACACGGATAGCCAGTGCACCTGGCCTGAAACCAGACTTTTCTAATTTTGTTTCCTGTGAACATGTGATAAGGAATACAATAAGTACTAGCACAGTTTTATGTGACTGTCTTGATATGGCTGGGGTCGCCTACGGTTGACCGCTATTGCTTTTGTACCATCAATTCAAATGTTAACTCAGTTAAAAAGGAAAATTATGTTTAAGTACTAAGATGAAAAGGGGTTAGGCCTTAAGGACACATGGAAATGGTCTTGGGGATCCCCCAGAAAATGTAGGGACCACACTTTGAAAACCACTGGCCTAGAACCATGATTCTTATCTCCAAAGTTACATTGTCTTTTCCTCAAAATGTTACAATTTTCCAATGTTTTCCAGCACTGTTACTTTGCAGACAATTATTTTCTGTATTTATTTTTTCTGTACCTCTTGGATCCATTTTTTTTTGCATCTCCTCTTCATCACCTCCTTATATATTTTGTATTAATTAACATCAAAACTATTTACCTATAAGCCTAGTTTTCCACTTTAGTCCAATTCTCTCTGGTTTGAGAAATATTAGCACAATTTCTCAGGATTTTGTTATATCAGCTTCTTTCCTCATTCTTATTCTGGGAGAAGGTGACAGAGGAGTGTGCAGGAATTTCTAGGCTGTGCAATCATGCAATAATTTTATGTTTGTTTCTGTGGCTCTAACTTTTAAAAGTGATAACATTATATCTAATTTTCTTGCCTGTTGTCACTAATGAGTATATTTTTGCTGACACTTTTACTGCGTTACTTTTTCCCTCTTATTACTATTATTATTAATAAATTGGATCCTGCTATGTTGCCCAGGCTGGACTTGAACTCCTGGGCTCAAGTTATCCTACCACCTCAGCCTCTGGAGTAACTGGTACTATAGATGCACACTCAGCTTTTGCCCTCTTATTAATGTTTATGACATTAGATATTAGGAAATAATTTGCACTTCAGGGTTACCTCATCATATTATTTGCCTGTTAGTATTTAGTAGGCTGCTACCCTTGACTTACACTCTAGGTATATGTGTCCAGTTCCAGGACCATTTACTTGATGAGATGCTCAGGAATTTTTAGTGTCTGTCAACTACAGTAGTTGGTTTCTTTCTATGTTTCTACTGACTTGTTTCAATACTTATCTACAAATAGAATTGCATTGGCTCCTTTTTTAAAGTTGCCTTATTTTGGAAAATACTTGTACAATTTTACAGCTTATTTCTGTTGGATTTTTCAGTTGAGATAAATGTCTAAAGCTGTGAATATGAGAGCTATGAATGAGATCTTGTTCCATGAGGCTTTGGGATTCCCTTTATGCTGTAAAAAGTTAAACCTTCCCTATGAAGGATCCATACACAAACAGATCCCAGGAAGGGTTGTGCATGGTCTGATAAAGCTGAAAACTGCAGATTATACTCAAGAGCTTTGATAGGGTCTCAGCAGGAGTGAATCCAAGTTTTGTGAGATCCAGAGTTTGTTAAGTTTGGGATCCTTTGTGTAAAGAAAAAATATAGCATAATACATTTGAAAATAGGTACAGGGCCTTGGAAGTAGCCCATGCGACTGAGCAGCCCTGAAGCTTGCACTTCATTGACTTTGTAAAGCTACTTCTAGGGTCCTGTGGAAATGTTTTCCAAGCAAACTCACACTTAAACTTGTCTTCACACAGAATTTGCCAAGTCTGGCAGTGTTTTAGCAGACTTGGACCTATGCATGTGTGGGCTCTGAACTTAGTTGGGTTACTCTACACTTACAATCTGTGACATTCTGGTGTGTTTATGCCAAATATACTGCAGCCTTCCAGTGGCCCTGCTTTGTGTTACTTGGCTTCTTCTCTGGTTTTATGATTAATCTCTTATTTACCTCTGGGGTTGACTCAATTTACTTGTCTAAGATCTAGACATTGTTCTTGGCTTTTGCATCTCCAATTATTCCATCAGCTTTACTCTTTCCTCTTATTTCATATGGGAACCACTGGCCTGGACCACAACACTGACATTGAAGATGGCAGTTTGTATTAATTCTTTCTACAATCTCCTAACACGTCAGATATTAATCCTCTGGTTACAAATGCTGGCTCAGATTAAGAGTCCTAGTTCACCTCATCTGCTTTGTGCAGTGTGATATGGGCTTTTGGCTAGAAATCAAGCCCTACTGTTAAAACCACATCCTGGGTAGGACCCAACCTAATTTATACTTCTCACCCCTCTCCGATCTTGTAGTAAGGTTGAGCTTGCCTTGAGGTAAAGCCCAGAGATTAGTGACCAGAAGTTCCATCTTCATACCACAACCATTAATGAAGTTTCATATAAATAGCACAGCCTTTTAACACACTTCATCTTGGATATGTCTTTTATGATAACACACCTTAGTTTCCCTGCCATGTATAATCGAGAACACTTAGTGCTAGACAATAAGAAAAGCTGTGATAATTTTTGAGTCATATTATCATGAATTTGAGATTGGCATACTTTTCTCCAGTTGTTTTTCATCTTATGAAATTTGAGAAGCAGAGAATTGGTATGATCCTCCACTGCAGAGCAGAGGTTGACTTGAATGATGGTTAATTTTATCTGCCAACTTGGCTGGGCCACAGAGTGCCCAAATATTTTCACAAACATTACCCTGGATGTTTCTACATGGGTGTTTTTGGAGGACACTAATGTTTAAATTGGTAGAGTGAATAAAGCAGATTGCTCTCATAATGTTGGTGGGCTCCATTCAATCAGTTGAAGCCTTGAATAGAACAAAATGCAAACCCTCCCCCACTCCAAGTAAGTGAGATCTTCCTGCTGAGGGCCTCCAAGTGGGAACCTTAGATCTTCCCAGTTCTGTGGTAGTTGGTGAACTACTACTCGAAGTGGGGCATGAGCTCTGCAGATTTTGGACTTGCCAGCCTCCTCCACAACCATGTAAGCTAATTCCTTATCATAAATCTCTATCTGTGTCTATTTCCATCTTTGTCTCTATTTTTATCTCTATCTCTATCTCTGTTTCTGTCTGTCTGTCTCTACCTCTATCTCTGTCTCTGTTTCTGTCACTGTCTGTCTCTACCTCTAGCTCTGTCTCCAACTATCTCTATCTCTATCTCTATCTCTATCTCTATCTCTATCTCTATCTCTATCTCTATCTCTATCTCTATCTATCTCCATGTCCCATTGGATCTGTTTCTCTGGAGAAGCCTGACTAATATGACTTGTTAAATCATTCTGCAAACACAGAAAGTGGCACATTTCCAGGTTGGCAAATAAAAATTTCTACCTACCTGTTATAGATAGTATATTTATTTTAAAGTTTACTTCTTTCATTTTTAAAAAGTACACTGATGCAAGTGCAAATTTTTATGTTAGATATGATGGCTCCGGGCAGGGCACAGTGGCTCACGCCTGTAATCCCAGCACTTTGGGAGGCCAAGGCGGGCGGATCATGAGGTCAGGAGATTGAGACCATCTTGGCTAACATGGTGAAACCCCGTCTCTACTAAAAATACAGAAAATTAGCCAGGCGTGGTGGCAGGCGCCTGTAGTCCCAGCTACTCGGGAGGCTGAGGAAGGAGAATGGCCTGAACCCGGGAGGTGGAGCTTGCAGTGAGCTGAGATCATGCCACTGCACTCCAGCATGGGCGACAGAGGGAGACTCCATCTCAAAAAAAAAAAAAAAAAAAGAGAAGAAATGATGGCTCCAAGAACAAAGAAGACCATATTGAGCCTCTCAATCAAGTTTTTCAACTTAGTGGTGAGGCATTATGGAACCAGGTGATAATGCATCAATTTCATTATTAGAAATAATGCCTCCTGCAGGAACACCATGATAAACCACTTAAAAATTTAGAGGTCCCCAGAGAATCTCAGAGGGCATGCACAGTTGGGTGTCAAAGCCCATTTTATTTGAGGGCTCTCTAGGCAAGTAAAAGATTTTGGCTTTGCAAATATGCAGGGACCTTTCTGCCGTTAACATGAAAAGCACCTCATGAATATTTGTCCTCCCCTTTGTAAATTAAAGTATACACATCAGGATGTAATTTGAATATTATCTTGTAGTAATTTTCTTCCTGCCAGCTCTGTTTTACACTGTCTTAAAGAAGACTCGTAAAAATACAAATCAGTCGTGAGAAAGTATAAAAACAAAAGTAACCCATCCAGAACTAACAGAGCAAATCACGTAAGGGAACATTAAGTCCTAATTGTAGAAATAACATACATTAATCACCCTTCTAGTGCTACCAGGGGGATGGGCTTGCTGATGACCTGACACACAAAAAAGAAAATACAGAGCCAGGCCAAGTTTTCAACTTGAAGCTGTGTATTCAGAAGGCCGAATGGGCATATAGCTACATCATTTTAAAAATTATAATGGAGAGAAAGCCCTGGTAATACAGTATTAGAGTTGCAAGTGTGGGCACATTTACAGGAGGAGGAAATTCACTTGGGAAAGCTTTCTTCTGACATTAGACATATGGCAAAGCTCTACTGGGAATTGTTCAATGTTTATGCTTACCTTCAGGATGGGAGGCAAGATATTTCAAATAATTGCAACTATCAACTTTCCAGCTGAGTGGAGTTTGGCTAGATATGAAAATTGCTCCTCACTGTAAGAAAAACACCACCAATTTTAAAAACAAAATTCAATGTGCAATGAGAAGCTATGGTATGTTTGACATCTCATGTGCCTTAGCCTGGTGTTCTGGGAAAAGCAGAGCATATATACATGCCTGTGGTTTATTTTGGGAATTGGTCCCAAAGCACAGGAATGGAGTACTGGGACAAGTAAGATAGGGGAAGAAGGAAAGCCAGTCCAAGAAGACATGACAGAGCTGATCACCACTGTCTGTCAACAACTAGGATTTGATTCTTTTGGGGTCTTTCTGGAAAGCTGTGATTAATAAATCTGTAATTGTCCAACCAGAGGTAGAAAAGGTGAACACTTATATACTAGCTTTCATTTTCCTTTGGTGGAAAGTCAGCCCATGGATTGATAATACCCTTGTCCTTCTACTTTGAGTTTTTTTTTTTTTTTCATAATGGCCAAGTGAGTTCGTGAAGAAATCTCATGTAGAGGCATAGAAATCCCTGAGTGAAAGGTGGTAGACTTAGTACGCCCAAGTGGAGGTGCTATCGGGGTGCACCAGTATAGCTTTCTGGCAGAGCAATGGCTGGGGTAAAACAGCAGACTAAGGTGCTATCTGATGGAGTGCAAAAGTTACGTGGGATATATCGTGGGAAGATTCTCTGTACTTGCATTTTTATACACTGCGGGTTTTTTAAATGTTTTGATAATAGAATCAGACTGAACCAGGTGTAAGTATCTCATTATCTGTTTCTTCGGAAAGAGGATGTCCTGGTGTCTTCTCTGTAATTTAGAGCCTCCACTCTGCCCCTGTATATTCTTATATTCTTTCAGCACCAGTGGCTGGCGTCATCAGCCAGCAAAGAGAGACACCTGGGGTCTTCAGCCCTTTCCTCACCCACTGACAGAGGGTAAAACTATTACTATCTCCTGATTTCAAAAGTGTAATAAAGAGTCTGTGCATGTACACACACACACACACACACACACACACACACACACCCCTCTTGTACTTTCATCAGATGCCAAAGCTTTTTTTAACTCTTTGGATGGACTTTTGCTGTGACATTTGGAAACATTTAAGGATAAATTTGTGCTAATCTCAGAGATGTCTACTTCAATGTAAAAGAAGAATCCAAAAATCCTTCTAGGCAGTGGCAGGATGAGAACATGAGGATGTCATGTTTCCTCTCCTTTCCCCCAAAAGAGAGGAGTATTCTTTTGCTCTTCTAACTGTCTACATTAAAGCTTGGTTAAGGGGTAAACTATTAAAGAATTTGTATTGTTGCTCTCCAAATTATTTGCATTTGAGTTTGTCTTCCTCAGTAGAATGAAGGACTTTGTTCTTTACTGGAATAAAGGGGATCTTGAAAGATGTGAGTGATTTGCCTTGGGCCCCTGAAATTCTACTGTGCAAGTTTGACAGTGTAGGACATTGGCCTTGTGTGGGGTGGTTGAACTGGTAAAATGTCTTTTATCCTACCATCAGACCCTTTAAAAAAACACTTTTTAACTGGTATCTTGTATTCTCCTAGCCTAAAGTTAATTACATGTTAATTTAGCGGAAATTCAGCATCTATTATATTAAAAGAAATTTAATGCTGTATTTCTTGGTTGCCTTGCTTTGGTTCCACAATAAATTTGTTTCTACATCCCTAAAATGAGCTAGGTGATGTGTGGGGTAGGGGTAGGCTCAGCAGCTTTGGAGTCAAACAAACCTGTGTTTCCTTTCTGTGTCTGCTACCTCTGTTAGCCTCAATGTTCTTGTCTATAAAATGAGGATACTGATATCTGTTAGGCAGGATTGTTATGAGGATTTTGCATAATGTACATAGATATTCTAATATAATATATGGGACTAGAGGAAAGTGACCGTGCTGAGTTAGCTTCTCAGAATAATCCACTGGTGCCCTATGGGGAAATGGAGGCTGGTGTCTGCAGGGAAATATTTCCCAGTCAAGTTTGACTCATTGATATTCCCCTAAGCATTTTTTTGCATGGCCTATCCACCCTTGGACAATTTTCTTACAACAAATTCCCAAAAGCAAGAAGGGGATAAATGCAAAGTGAAATGTGGACCTCCAAGTGAATTACAGCATTTGTCCGTGTGATCGGCTCTAAATCGAAAAGTAAACTTAATTAAATAGAAAAGGGAAAACTCTTGTTGATGCCGTAATGAAATTCAGGGTTTCAAGGCTCACAGAGAGGAAGCTGTATTGAAAGGTTCATAATTAATTGACGGGATAACATTATCACAGGGTTTTTACACTGCATTTATGCCTTTATTTATTTACTTATTCATTGCCTTCCAAAAATAGAGGCTATAAAACTGAGCACACAATTGAATTATACCTGTTGTGCCCCCAATTAGCCAAATCCTGGCACATTTCAATTTTTGTGTTCCAGCTGTGTGCATTAGAAATCGAACATTAGGGCTAGGAAATGTCTCCTGTAAGCTTGTTTCCTGGCACAGAAATTAAAGACATGGTTAGTTAATAGGTCCCTGGATGCCTAAGCCTGTCATGCTGGTTTTGAAGGTCAAGCAAGGGGCTGCAATGAGAATTTGCAAATGAAATGTGAAAAATGGGTCCTAAAGTTTGGTGAAGAGAGATTTGGTGTGTAGGTCTGAGAACTCATCTGATGAGACCACACAGGGTCAACAATTGTTAAAATGGCTAAAATTCAGCTGGCAGTACATTTTTCTAATTACTGAATGCTTTAAACATGCCGGAAATAACTGAGGCTCAGATATCCATCACTCAGCTTAAACATATGTTAACCATTTGTCATATTTCGTTATTTTTAAATTTAAAAATACAATGTTAAAATTCTAGCTTAGTTTTTCACCACCTCTTCCTTTGTTCCTACTTTTCTACTTGGAGTGCTATTAAGAAATCAGTATGTGAGATTATTATGCATTGTAGAATATCTTTAGTCTATATGTATGCCATCATCCATGTGACACAGTATTGCAGTATTTTTTTGTGTGCAAATTCATTTATAGAAATAAAATGCTCCCATATGGCCACAAGGATATATAAATGATGTTCATTGCAGCCTTGCTTATAATAGCTAGAAATTGAAAAATAACCAATTTTCTCACCTATAAAGAATTAAACTTTTTTATTTATACCCTGAGATATTTTAGAGAAGTGTAAGTAAATGAACCAGATTTATGTGTATTACTATAAATATATTTCAAAAATATATTTTTTAATTTAAAAAGTTGCTTTCGAACTTTTAAGTGAGTATGTCAGGATCCCCATCCTTCTACCAGGATGTGTGTGTGGGAGAGAAACAGGTAGATGCTCAGCAAACAGGGCACTTGGATAACACTCCTGTTGGGTGAGTCCACATGACTGAGCTCTGGTCAGTGACCTGTTGGAGAGACAAGTGGTCAGTGTCATTTACAGGCCTGACCCATTCAAACCTCTCCAGGATCGTCCACACATGCTGCTCACTGTCCTCCTGGGCAGCGGCAATGGACCCAGTGGAGGTTCCAGGGTATGGTGGAGACAATGAATGGGTGAAGTAGGGGCCCTCCCATAACACACACTGTTCTATGATACGGACAAGAAACACACCTTTACTGAGTTCAGCCACTGATGCTTTGTGATTGTAGCTTCTCTCACCATACACAGTGTGTGTACAATAAAGCTGTTCATGAGTCACTTGTCTAGCAGCCACCATGATGTCTTGGGCATCAGTGAACAATCTGGAGGGGAAGAGCAGGAAAACTGAGGAGAGAGGAGCCCTGACTCTTCCTCTGGGAGAAGCTACATCTTCTGGTCATGTTTCTCATGGTTCCTGGATCTGCTCTTCCTTTTGTTTTCTATTATCCTCCATGGCTACATCGGAAGTGTGTTCATGCCTTCCCTAGGCCCACCATAGTATTACCAGCCCTCCTTCTAGTGAAAAATTGGGAGCAGAATTTTCAGTAATCTTAGGCTCTGAATCCAGACTCAGTTTCCCTGGACCTACTTTACTTGAGCTGCCATCCAAAACACCATAGATGGGGGATGCCAGAGACCTGCCTTGTGTCTTCAACCATGTGAGGACACAGAGAGAAGATACCATCTAGGAACAAAAAAACCAGACCTTTGCCAGACACCGAAAGTGCTGCAGCCTTGGTCTTGAAGTTGCCAACCTCCAGAACAGTGAGAAATAAACTTTCACTGTTTAAGTCATCCCATCTATGGCAGGTTTCATCCTGAGGCCTCTTCTTTTGGCTTGTAGGCAGCCACCATCTCTGTACATGCTCATATGACACTTGTTTGTGCTCCTGTGGAGAGGGGGAGCTCTGGTGTCTCTTCCTTTTTCTTATAAGAGCACTAATCCAGCTGGGCATGGTGGCTCATGCCTGTAATCCCAGCACTTTGGGAGGACAAAGTGGGCTAATCACCTGAGGTCAGGAGTTCAAGACCAGCCTGGCCAACATGGTGAAACCCCATCTCTACTAAAAATACAAAAATTAGCCAGGCGTGGTGGCTTGTGCCTGTAGTCCCAGCTACTCCAGGGGCTGAGGCATGAGAATCGTTTGAACCCAGGAGGTGGAGGTTGCAGTGAGCCAAGATCGTGCCATTGCACTCCAGCCTGGGTGACAGAGCAAGACTATCTCAAATAATAATAATAATACTAATGAAAATAAAATAAAATAAAATAAAAATAAGGCCACTAATCCCCTTATAACCTCTTCTGGACCTAATCACCCGACAAAGGCCTCACCTCCTGCTATCACCACATTGAGGGTTAGGGTTTCACATATGAATTTTAGGGAGGGCACAAACATTCAGTCCATACTACCTCGTAATCGATTTCTCTACAAAAGTTAGAAGATATGTGATATTTGCTTCAAGGCATTTCTGTATGCCAATAACCAGATCCAAATTTCCTTATAGTTACATTTTTAAAAATTATTTTTCTGCTCTCACATCCCTAACTTTAAATTCTTTGTGAAGACTCTCTTAAGACTATGAACTTCAATGGGAAGGCTACAGGCCTAATCTAATACTTGTCCTGGATTGCTTTATCCAGTTGCGATGGTTTACTGAGCCATTTTCACTGGAAGTATTTGTTTTTTAATTAACCCTTTAAAATAATTTTAACCTTAAAGAAAAGTTGTGAAAATAGTGGGAAATTTCCACATAACCTTCACTTAGATTCCCTCAATATTAACATACTATGTAACCATAATACAAACTTGGAAACCACGAATTAGCATTGGTATTCTTAACTGATCTGTAGAACCTTATATGAAGTTCATTAGTTGTTCAACTATTGTCCTTTTTCTGGGCCAGAATCCAGTCCAGGTTGTGACAATGTGTGTATTTTTTTGTTTCCTTAGTCTGCACCAATTGGTGACCATTCCTCAAGCTTTGTCTTTTATGACTTCTACTTTTAAAGAGTACTGGTCAGCTCTTTCGTAGAATGTTACTCAGTCTGGATATGTCTGATATATTCTCATGATAAGATTCAGATTACAAATTTATTTGGCAATGATACTACAGAAATGATATTCTCTTCCCAATGCACCATACCAAGGTATATGTGGTGCAGATATATTTTATTACTAATGATGTTTATCTTGAACATTTTCTTAAGGTAATATCTTCAGGGTTTCTCCACTGTAAAATTCCTCTTGTTGGTGATGAATTAATATTTTGGAAGAGATATTATAAAACCCAGGAAATACTGTGTTTCTCATCACACTTACACCCATAAATTTTAGTATTCATTGATAACTTTTGTCTGCAATAATTATCACTGTGGTATCAGCCTCAGGATGGTTTTCTCACTTTCTTTATCTCTTCAATGAAGGGATGTGTTAAGTTGTATTCTACTTTGAGGAGTCATTGTCCTTCTCCGAGTCTTTATTCAGTAATTTATTCAGTATACAGTTTTAGATATTTATTCTATCTACGAGTTGCAATTCAATAATCTCACTAGTATGTTGCTCAGATTGTTTTAGCTTTGGCAATCCAGAGCTCATTCCAGTTGGTTTTTATGTTGTTATTGTTGTTGTTTGTAACATGCTATTGTTATTTTTTGAGCATTTACTTACTTCCAGTAATTTTGAGCATTTACTTACTTACCATACAATGTGTGGGTTCATCTTGTGTTTTCCTTATCCTGGCAGTAGAGCTAGATATTTCTCCAAGCAGCTGTTTCTTTTATTAGAGAACATATTTAGAAACTAAGATTTGAGTACTAGGTATATTCCTTCCTATTGGAGGAGTCTCATTGCTTGTAGATCTTGCCAACAGACAGAACTAGGAAATATAAGTATATTTTCTAGCAAATATATATCACATATCTCCATTTCTGTTCTGTAAATGTATATTATGTATATATAATCTCTATATCTATCTATCTATCTATCTATCTATCTATCTATCTATCTATCATCTATCTATGGAGAGATGTCACTACCACCTCATTCCTGTGACCACATTCTATTTTCTTCTTGTTTCTACCCCATTGCTACTCACCTTCTCCATGTAATCAATCTCACTAGTGTGATGTATCCATTTTACCCTTCTTGTAATTATTTTGTACAAAATAGCAACACAGTTATATTTTTGTATATCCCTTTCTTTCTAACATGAAAGGTGGAGAACTTTTCTCATTTAAAAATATCTTTTACAATCACTCTATCAGTACATAGAGATGTTCTCCCATTTGTTGCATTTTGTGGATTTACCATAGGTTATGTAACCATTCTTCTATATGTGAACGTTTAGTCTGTTGCAAATACTCTGGAAGTCAAAACAATGCTACGATGAATAACTTTGTATATGTGTATTTTCATATTGTCCAAGGTGTATATCTAGTGTGGATTCCTACAAGTCATTGCCAGTTTAAAATGTAAGTTCATTTACAGTTTTGTTAGATACTGCCAAATTCCTCTACACAATGATTGTTTGCATTTCTGCCAGCAACGTGTGGAAGTGACTAATTCTTCAAAGCCACATGAACAGGATGTGTTGTCATAATTTGTCATTTTCTTCAATCATCATTTCAAGGTGTCACTGGGTTTTATTAATTTGTATTTATCTCATTGTGAATAATTTTGAATATTTTCCACATGCTTAAAGCCATTTTTATATATCTGTGTGTGTGTGTATGTGTGCATGTGTGTGCTTTTTTTGCTCAGGATTTTGGTACTTGTGCCCTTTAACTTTTTTCTCTGATGTTTTTAAGCAAACAAAATATGGTCATATAAGCTATTCATTCATTTGGCAAATTCTTACTTAGCAACTACTGTTCCCAGAACTATGCTAGTATGATAATATAAAGGGGGACAGTCCTTCATGGAACTTTGGTCTATGGAAAGAGATTGTTGTGGCTCATGCCTGTAATCCCAGCACTTTGGGAGGCCGAGGTGGGCGGATCACCTGAGGTCAGGAGTTCAAGACCAGCCTCAACATGGAGAAACCCCGACTCTACTAAAAAAAATACAAAACTAGCCGGGTGTGGTGGTGTATGCCTGTAATCCCAGCTACTCGGGAGGCTGAGGCAGGAGAATTGCTTGAACCTGGGAGGCGGAGGTTGCGGTGAGCCGAGATCACGCCATTGCACTCCAGCCTGAGCAACAAGAGCGAAACTCCGTCTCAAAAAAAAAAAAAAAAAAAAAAAGATTGTTGAGCCCTTTCCTTTTTTATTTTGAGATAACTATAGGTTCACATTCAATTATAAGAAACAGGGAGATCGTGAGTACCCTTTATGTAGTTTTCCCCAATGGTAGCACCCTTCAAAACTGTAGTAAAATACCACAACCAGGATTCTGCCATTGATATAGTCAACACAGAGAACATCTCCATCCCCACAAGGATCCCTCATATCACCCTTTTTATCGACACACCAACTTTTCTCCAGTTCCTTTCTTTCGTTAATCCCTGGCAACCACTATTCTGTTTTCAATATTTTGCCATTTCAAGAATGTTATATGAGTAGAATCATAATACACTGGGCAACCTTGTTAGGCTGGCGTTTCACTCAGAATAATGCTCTGGAGATTAATTCAGATTCTTGCATGCATCAACAGTTCCTGTATGTTTGTTGCTGGGCAGTATTCTATGGTAAGTGTGCTTACCATGAACCGTTTGACCATTCACCCACAGGAGGAAGTCAGAGTTGTGCCCAGTGTTTGACTATTATGAATAAAGCTGCTATAACTATTCATGTGCAGCTTTTGTGTTAACTTAATTAAGCCTTTGTTTCTTTGGTGTAAATGCTTAAAAGTGCAGTTGCCAGGTCACATGATGGTTGCATGTTTGGTTTTTGAAGAAACTGCCAAATGATTTTTCAATCTACCATTTTATATTCCCATCAGCAAATATGAGCAATCCAGTTACTTCACGTCCTCATGACCGTTTGGTGTTCTTTTTTTTTTTTTTTAAAGTAGCCATTCTGATTGATGTTTAGTGTTAGCTCATTACATTTGTCTAGTGGCGAGTGATGTTAAACATTTCATGGGCTTATGTGTCATCCATATAGCCTTTTCAGTGAAGTGTTTCTTCATGTCTGTTGTTTGTGTCCCAAGTTAATTGTTTTTTTTCTTGACTGTTAGGTTTTGTGAGTTTTTAAAAAATATATTATAAATTCTATTTCTTTGTTGGATATGTGGTTTGCAAATATTTTCTTCCACTCTGTAGCTTTTATCTTTATCTTCAGTGTAGTTTTCACAGAGCATAATTTTTAATTTTGATAAGGTCCATTTTATCAAATTTTTGTTTGATTGATGGTACTTTTGATGTCAAGTCTAACAATATTTCATCTTTCCTGAGATAGAATGTTTTTTCCTATGTTGTCTTCTAAAAGTTTTATAATGTCTGTTTCACATTAAGTCCATGATCCATGTATTCATTTCAGATTAATTGGATGAATTTTGCATCTTAGATCGGGGTCCTTTTTTGATCTCTTTTGTGCCAATAGATGTCCAATTGCTCCAGCACCATTTGTTGAACTGTCGAATAGTCTATATTCCTTTTTAAGTTGCTTTTGCACCTTTCTTTTTTCAAGAATCTTTTGAGTAAATTTCTGTGGGTCTATTTCTGGATACTCTGTACTGTTTCATTGATCTCTGTGTCTGTACCTCTGACAATTCCACAGAATTTTTTTCATTGTAGCCATACAGTAACGCACAGTGGTTCATGTCTGTAGTCTCAGCACTTTAGGAGGCCGAGGTGGGTGGATCATTTGAGGTCAGGAATTTGAGACCAGCTTGGCCAACATGGAGAAACTCCGCCTCTAGTAAAAATTAGCTGGACATGGTGGTAGACGTCTGTAATCCCAGCTACTCAGGAAGCTGAGTCAGGAACGTCACTTGAACCTGGGAGGTTGAGGTTGCAGTGAGCCAAGATCATGCCACTGCACTCCACCCTGGGCAACAGAGCAAGATTATGTCTTTAAAAAAAAAAAAATTAAAAGCCCAATATATTTAACTCTTCTATTTTATTCTTTTTTTGAAATTATATTAACTATTTTAGTTTCTTTGCTTTTCCATGTAAAATTTAGACTAATCTTTTATATGTCTATAAAAATCTTTTTGAGATTTTCATGAGAATTATATGTCAATTTGGGGAGAACTGACTTCTTTACTATGTTGAATTTTTCAATACTTGAAATACTTTACTGTTATTCTTTGATTTCTTTCATCAAGGTTTATAGTCTTCAGCATACATACAATTTATGTACATGTTTGTTAGATTTACATGTATTTTATTTATTTTGAGTGATTATAAATTATATTTTAAAAACTTTTATCATACATGATTAATATATAAATGCATCACATAAACTAGATAATATTATAAATAATTACAATTGACTTTAAAATATTTATCTTGTACACTGTAAACTTTCTGTACTCATTTATTAATTCTGAGAGTTTTTTTAGAATTCTTTGAAATTTTCTGTGAAGACAATCGTATCATCATCAAATAGAGACAGTTTTATTTACTTATTTCTGATCTGTATGCCTTTATTTTCTCTTCTTGTTTTAGTGCACTGGCTAGGACCTCCAACATGTGTTAAACCAGAGTGCTCTTCTGTTTTCTGGAAGAGATCATACAGATTTCATGTTAATTTTTTAAATTCTTGGTAGCCTTCTCCAGCGAAACCATTTGGGCCTGGAGATTTCTTTTCTGGGCATAAATTACAAACCCAGTTTCCTTAATAGAGAGCTATTCACATTATCTACTTCATAATGGGTGAGTAGTGGCTTATCTTCTCCTGGCTCAAAGTGGTTCTCTCTTTGGTAACCTCCCATATAAGAGGCAGAAAAGCCAGGCCAGGAGAGTGACCTCTTGAGTGGAGGATAACTGGGGCAAGGACTTCTTGAGTCAGAAAAATAAAAAGCAGAAAAAGAAACCAGAGAAAACCATGAAAGAAAATTGTCCCCAAATAAATGCTTTTTATCTTTCTCACATCAAAACAGCTTCTTCTGGCCAGCTGTCCTCTGTTCATTCTAGCTTGTGTTGACCTCTCTGTTGCATCAGTTCTAATTCTGGCTCTGCTACTTGTGTGCTGTGTGACATTAGGCAAGCTATTTAACCCCTCTGTGCCTCAGTTTGTTTTCTATAAAAATAAAAATACCATCAGTATTTTCTTTATATGGTGTGCAAGGATTCAAATGAGTTAATAAATAGAGTTTAAAAATAGTACCTAATGGATATCTTGTTTTTTCAGCACTGTTTATTGAGAAGACTTTGTTCTCATTGAATTGCTTCAACACCTTTTTTTTTTTAGAATAACCTATGACATATGTGTGGGTCTATTTCTAGACTTCTCATTTCCACCAATCAATCTGTATATAATTTTGCAAATAGCACACTATCTTTATTACTGCGGCTTTAGAGTAAGCCTTGAAATCAGGGAGTGTTAAGTCCTCTAATTGTGTTTATCTTCTTCATGATTGCCTTGCTATTTTAGGTCATTTGCATTTCCATATACATTTTGCAATTAGCTTGCCAAACGCTATTTTTACGAAAGACTGATGTAATTTTGATTGGAGTTGCATTATAGATCAATTTGGAAGAGGTTTAAAGTCAACAATATTGAGTTTTTCAATATAAAAATATAGTTCATACTTCCATTTATTTGGCTTTTTGAAATTTTATTTCAGCACTATTTTCTAAGTCTTACACATCTTTTGTTAACTGTATTCCTAGGGCTTCTTTTTAATGCTAATAACAATTCTGACTTTTAAAGCCTTATTTTTCAATCATTTATGGCTACTAGAAATACAATTAATCTTTTGTATACTGATCCTTTAGCCTGTGACCTTACTAAATTTACCTATTAGTTCCAGTGTTTGTACCTTCCTTCTTCCTTCGGATTTTCTATAACACCATCATGTAACCTGCAAATAAAGAATGCCTTACATTTTACTTTCCAAACTTCGCATCTATCTACATACTCTCTCTCTCTCTTCTCCCTTCCTTCTTCACTCTCCTTCTCTCCCTTTCTTTTTCTCTCTTTCCTTTTGTTGATTAATTTCTCCTCCACTCCACCTCTCTCTCTCTCTCCCAATTGTGCTGATTAGAACTTACCGCACATTTTAAATACAAATAGTAAAAGTAATCATTCTTGTCCTGTCCTAACTGTAAGGGAAAAGCTTCAATATTTAAATGTTACCTATAGGTTTTCACAGATACACTTCACCTTCTGTGTATTTTAAAACTTTGTGGGTTTTTTTTTATTATTATACTTTAAGTCCTGGGATACATGTGCAGAACATGCAGGTTTGTTACATAGATATACATGTGCCATGGTGGTTTGCTGCACCCATCACCCCGTCATCTGCATGGTGTTTCTCTTAATGCCCCATCCTAATGCCTCCCCTAGCCCCCCACCCCCTGACAGGCCCTGGTGTGTGATGTTCCCCTCCCTGTGTCCTTGTGTTCTCATTGTTCAACTCCCACTTATAAGTGAGAACATTTGGTGTTTGTTTTCTGTTCTTGTGTTAGTTTGCTGAGAATGATGTTTTCCAGCTTCATCCATGTCCCTGTAAAGGACATGAACTCATCCTTTTTCATGGCTGCATAGTATTCCATGGTGTATATGTGCCACATTTTCTTTATCCAGTCTATCACTGATGGGCATTTGGGTTGGTTCCAAGTCTTTGCTATTGTGAACAGTGCCACAATAAAAATACATGTGCATGTGTCTTTATAGTTTGTGTTTTTAAACTTGCATTATTCCCTTCACAATTTATTTGTGCGATTTCTCCATAGTGATAGGTGTACATCTGTGCCTCCTTTATCAATGCTATATGATATCTCCATAAAAATGTCAGAATCTATTTATACGTTTACCTCTTAATTTATATTTAGGATGTTTCATTGTTTTAAAAGTGCATATAATGCTCCTTTTATAATTCCTCTACATCTTTCTGTAAACTTATGAATGAAGTTTTGGTACATTCCAACACTATTATTGACTTTAACATTTTTAGACCAAACACCCTTGCAAAATTTTTGTGCCTAATTCTACTGCCACTACCTGTATGTAAGAGTTCCTATGCTTTCACAGCTTTCCGAACTTGTTATTATCATATAACTTAATTTTTACCCATCTGATAGTGTAAAATTATACTTTCCTGGATTTTAATTTCACTTCTCTGATGAGAGACTGACACTTTTTAAAATTTCAAAAAGATATTTCACTTTACCTCTTTGGCTAATTTTACCAGTTTCCTGTTGAATTACTTATATTCCTCTAATTTTTGTAGATTTAACTTACATATACCAGATATTGATTCTTGGCCAATTAGATGTGATACACAAGTACTGCAGTCTATAGCTTCTGTCTTTTTATCTTCTCTGTTTCTGTCTCTGTTTTTCTATCTCTGTGTCTGTCCATCTGCCTCTGTCACACAAACACACACACACACACTCACACACAACCACACACACACTTGATGCTGCTTTTGATAAACAGGAGGTTTCATTTGTGAATGATCAGATTTATCAATCTATGGTTTCATAACTTGTTTACAAAACCAGATCCTGATATTACAACGGTGTGATCATTTATTTTCTTTTTAAGTTTAGAAGTTTGACTCTTCACATAAAATTCCTTTTAGTTTATTTCGTATATGAGGGATCCAATTCCCAGATTGGCCATATGGGCAAACAAATGAATTCCTTTAACTGACTGGTCCATCTTCTGTCTGACAGGTAGTGCCTGCTCTGCATATGACGTGTGTTATAAAGGTCTAGTGTGTTTCTAGTCTCTCCATTGTGCTCCTGTGTCCCACCATTCCTTTCAGCTCTACTTTCTTGTCTTCGTACTGTTGCTTCATGTTAGAGTCTCCATCTGTGCGGTCACTTCTAACCATATTGCTTTTCCTTACAATTTTATTAGCTATTCTTAGTAAAATGTATACTCTTCCACATATATTTTAGAATGAATATGTCCAGCTTTAGAAAATTCAAGAAAAACTCTGTTGGAATTTTGATTGAATTTACATTGATTGATTTTTCACACTAATTTAAGGAGAATTGATAACTGTAGGACATCTTTTTTATCTCTGGAAATGGCACCAAGTTCCAATTATTTAGGCATATATATATATTATATATATATATTATATATATATATATATATATATATATAATATATATATATATTTTTTTTTTTTTTAAATTTGAGACAGAGTCTCACTCTGTTGCCCAGGCTGGAGTAGTGGCATGATCTTGGCTCACTGCAACCTCCACCTCCCAGGTTCAAGCAATTCTCCCTGCCTCAGCCTCCCAAGTAGCTGGGATTACAGGTGCTCACCACCATGCCCTACTAATTTTTGTACTTTTAGTACAGCCAGGGTTTCACCATGTTGGCCAGGCTGGTCTTGAACTCCTGACCTCAGGTGATCCGCCCACCTTGGCCTCCCAAAGTGCTGGTATTGCAGGCATGAGCCACCATGCCTGGCCACTTTAATATATTTGAATAAAGCCTTGAAATTTTATTTATCTAGGTGATACACTTCTTTTAAATACTTATTTCTTTTTTACACATACTTTTTTGCTATTATAAATGGTATCTTCTAGAAAAATTACATTTTATTTTGTTGTTAGGTATAGAAATGCCATTGATAACAGAATAAAATGTAATGTATATATATATATAATCAAGTATCTTGATATATATCAAGTATCTTGAGATATATATATATATATATATATAAAGTATCTAGCAAAGTTTCCAAATTCCCTTATTATTTATTTTTTCCCCTATAAGTTCTCTTGTCTATTTTAACAGAAAACAAGATCTGTGAATAATGATAGTTTTGTTTGTTCTTTCCCAATCCTTATACATTTTGGCTTTTTTGTCTTCTTAAATTTTTTTGTGACGATTATGACCTACAGTACAGAACAGTGACTTTGGATGAGAGAAGGAGCTGTGGTTTTTTGGTGTGTGGAGATTGCCTTATGGCTAGTGCATAGTTATCACAATGCTTCTTCTGTGCATGATCAGATGTGTCTTCACTAATTGTTTGAGTTTATCAGTTGCTAACTGTTCTTTTCACATCTTCTATATCCTCACTGACATTTTTGCCTAATTGAAAGCTCTTCCATAAAGGTAGTGAATTTTTTTAAATTTTCCTCAGATTTTCTGTGATATTTTATACATTTTATCTATTTTGAGATTATGTTCCAAAGAACTCACATCTTCTAGAGATATTGGACATCTGTATTAGTCCGTTTGGGCTGCCATCACAAATTACCATAGACTGAGTAGCTTAAACAACAGAAATTCATTTTCAGAGTTTGAGAAGCTGGAAGTTCAGAATCAGGATGCCAGAATAGGCTGATTACGTGGTTATGGTAAGGGCTGTCTTCCTGGCTTGCAAATGGCTATGATTTCCTTGTGTCTTCACATGGTAAGTGGGAGAAAATGCTCTCCTGTGTCCCTTCTTATAGTGCTACTATTCCCGTCATGAGGGCCTTGCCCTCGGTACCTCAGCTTAACCTAATTACCTCCCAAAGGCACCATTTCCCAACACTATCACATTGTGCCCGAGGACTTCAACATAGAAATTTTGTAGGGACACAGTTTAGTCCACAGTTACCTCTTATCTGTAATTATCCTCTCTTTTCCTAATAATGCTTATTGCTGTCAAGGTATCTGTTTCACCTGAAGTTTCCTGTGGTAAGCATTTATCTCTTTGTATTAGTATAGTATAACAGTATAGCATGTAACTAGAGATTTTTTTTTAAAATGGCAATGACTATTGTTTATCGAGGATTTACTCATTTATATTTAATGTGATTTCTCATGTATTTGGAATTATTTTTTATCTTTTTTGACTTAGGTTTCCGTTTGACTATTATGCTTTTAATTTTTCTATTTTTGTTTTTTATTGGGAGTGCTTGATTGAGATTTTATTGTTGTTTCTTGTTTTCTCATCCTGGTTTTGAATTTATACAGCTGTTTCTATTGTTTTAATTGTTACTATTTACACAATGAGTTAGGGTGCATGGCAAGGCTCTAGTATTGGTAGTGAAATCAGATGCTGTCAGATAGGATAATCTGCCAAAATTTAGGTAAAAGATGACCTTATGATCACTTATGAGGCTGGCACTCAGTTGGAAATAGAGCTGAGACTGTCTGCTAACATGACCAATTGGTGGTGAGCCAATCAGTGGTAATTCCTGGAGGTATTGAATCTAGTATTGCCCTATATAGGGTTGGGGAGGGCAGTGAATGAGAGTTTTTAATAAAAAGGGAAACCATTACATGATACAATATAATATTATGCAGAATATTAAGAAGATAATGGAGAGGCCAGAAAGAGCACTTGGATTTGAATTCGGCTCTTTCTGCTACTGGGTAGGTGGTCTTAAGAAAGTTTATTAAACTTTCTGTGCTTTTCTTGTCTTTTCACTTATGAGTCTGAGACAATAGTTATATATGTTCCATAGGGCTGTTATATATGCAAACATAAGGTAGTACATATAACTTGCTTGGAATGGTGTCTGACACATAATTTTTGCTATATCTTAGCAAATGCCATTGATAACAGAATATTTTTAAATATTATCTAAAGGTCAGTGCTGTGCAAGATATAGTCGATGTAAAATGAAAGATCCTTCTCTCAGAGGGCTCAGTCTACTCACTGTCATGGGAGAGGCTAGAGTGTAATCTGTACTATGCCTTACTTACATGTAACAAGATAAGCATTCAAAAAATTATAAGTGCAATAAACAAAGTATAGAAGCAGTTCAGAGGACGAGATGATTAATTTGTTCCCCTTGGGTGAAATGAGGTAGAAATGAGGAGGATTGCATCTGGAGAGAAGATGATAAATTTCCTTTGTGTCATGATAAATGTAACAGCCTTTTGGATGACCAAGAGGCAGTTGGGAAGGTAGGTCTTAAGTTACTGAAGACAGCTTGAGTTCTTTGTGAGCTCCGGTTTCTGATTCAAATGTGTTTCCAGTCCTTGATTTTTTGGACACCTTTATTATTATGCAGAATTAATTGTAAGGTGTTTGAGAAGACTGATTAATGCTAGACTGAATGTAATACTTGGTCCAAGATCCCCACAGATTGCCTTGAAAGGGCAGTCCTCACTTCTCTTATTTTCTTCCTATTTCCTGTACACCCCATACCCCAATGAGGTTGAAAAATGACTAACGTGTTATTGTCTTTCTGTTGGATACAAAGGACGTAAGAGTTCTGTGAATATTAACTTTCTACTTTATAGAGCTTTGTGCTTAGGACCTGTTCAGGCTTGTCCTTTTAATGAAACACTTTGTCCAAACACTTTTATCATTAAAAAAGTAATAATGAATCTGTTACGAGGCCACAGAAGGGGGCAGAAGGTTAATACATGTTAGAGAACAGAAAACAATTCAGCCACCACAGCCAATGAATACAGATTTCTTTTATTCTCCTTGAAGTCACCCACTATATTTTTTAACACCTTTCTCTTTTCTTCCTGAGGTCTAAATGAGAGGAGTGAAAACTGAGGCTTCAACCAGAAATCTCTATTACTTGTACAGCTATGGCAATGATGATGAATGCTTCTAGCACTAACCCAAAAGCACTGTAAGATCTTGCCAAATCATCAGAGATTAAATTCCAATCAGAAGCATGCCTTTTCTCTATTCTGCTTCCTCGGAACCTGAAAATCTACATGTAACTGCAATTCTAAAGTGATAAGATTAATTCCACAAACCACTTACATAAGTCCACCTCATCACCATATAGTCACATCTCACCTGTTATTGCTCTCCGTTAATTAGAATACTCGATTGACTAAGATAATTATATTTCCTGCCCAGGCTCAATGATGACATTTAATTTGTAAAAGAACTTTGATGATTTGGATTTTCTGATCACAGCCCGTCAATTCCTAACGTGAATGGAATCATGGAACCAGAAGGCATGTCCAGCTTGCCACACAAGAGATAGGGAGGTATCAATGTTACAGGAAGAGCAGACCCTAGAGAATATTGAGAAATTATGGGCTTTTTTTTAGGACATAGGTGCTGTAGAAAGGCTATTGGAAGATTTCTAATTTATTTTACCTACAAACATACCCTAGCCCAGTGGTAAATCATAGACTGATTATTTCCCACACTCCCAAAAAAGTACACTTCCATAAGAATACAGCATTCGGCATAAGATTTCATGGGGATTAATTGGACTGCTGAAGTTTGTACAATGACCTCATGTTGAGAACCCTTAATTGAGAGCATTCTGAATGCCAGAATTTATTAGGGTAAACAATTAAATTACACACATGTTATTCAAGGAGTTTACAGTCAATTGGAAGATACAGTAAAGTAGGCAGGCAATTATAACATGGAATGAATTGAGAGAGAATACAAGATGCAATAGGAATCTGTTGCTGAAACGGGGCAGTTCCCTGATCCCTCTTGCAGGATGTGCTAAAGGGATGTGGCTCGTCTGTTCTGTTGCCATGGCTGCCCAAACCCCTTATGGGAGGGGGAGCACGCAGACAGAGAGGCGCAGGAGCCCAACTGGGCATGTGTTACAGTGTGCTCTTTTTGCCTTGCTGTCCACAGACAGCTTGAGTGTTAACCAGCTCAGTGGACTCTGCCTTTCTGCAACGGCAGAGGGCCAGTGTGACAGCTTTCTGTATCCCAAGCTTTTGTCCAGCGTCCCAGAAGAATTGGGTCACACACAGACTTGAAGTATGAATGTGGGGATTTTATTGAGTGGTGGAGGTGGCTCTCAGTAGGATCGATGGGGACCCAGAAGCGGGGATGGAGTGGGAAGATGATATTCCCCTGGAGTCCAGCGGCCGAACTCCTCTCTGACCACCCCCAGTCAAACACCTCTCAGCGTTCAGACGTTCCTCCTCTTCTCTCTTTGCCGTGTGGTTATACCATTCATCTGCTTGTCTCCTTGTCTCGTCGTCTGCTTGTCTGCTCAACTCCTTCTGGAGCCTGGGGTTCAGAATTTATATGGGTATAAAATGGGGGGTCGTGGCAGGCCAAAAGGCAACTTTTCGTGTGTGAGAACAGAAACGCCTATTCTTATTTAGGGCCGCGGGTTTCCAGGCTTGAGGGTGGGGTCTTTGCTGGTGAACTGCCCTCTTCTACCCAGTATTTCTCTCTCTCCTGTCTGTATCATTGCAAGCAATCTTAAAGCCATCTTGGGAGACGGTCAGGATAGACTTACCAGAGGAAGAACTGCATAACAGTTACTTGAAGGATGAGTAGAAATTAGTCATGCAAAATTGGCAAAGAATGTGTCCTCTGTGGACAAAAAAGAATATTCAGTGGCCTGCCAGATGCAGGATAACACAAAATAGTGTTCAGAGAAATGAAAACAGCCCAATATGAGTAGAGCCTGATGCCTTGTAGTCAGGGGATTAGGCCAGAGGTCTGAGCTAGAACCATGTGTTTTGTGTCCTAAAAAGAAATTTGCATTTTTACCCTGAGGTCAAGAAATAATGGTTATATATTTCTTATAATATTCTAGGCTTGTTATGAAAAATAGTTTGAAGGGATAACAAGAGCAAAGGAAGCCATCCTAATTATAATGTGGTGTCTAAGAACGTGAGATATACTGTCAGGCTGTTCAAACTTAAGCCAGGCTTCGCAATTTACCAAGTGCTTTCATTTAAAGACGTTATTTAATGATTATCTCTGTGCTTCAGTTTCCTCATTTGGAAAATGGAGAAAATCATATATCCATGTAGTAGAGTTACTGTGAGATTGAATGAATTAATATGTGAAAAGTGCTTGATACTGTGCTTGGCATAAAAGCTTTTGCTTATCACCTTAATCATCAACATTATGATCAGCTGCAGCATTATGAAAGAGGGTGTCACAGTGTTTAATAAAATCTGTGGCAACCGGGATAGGGAGAAGTACACTAATTAGACAGGTGGACTTGATGGTCTCTGGCAACTGCTTAGATATGGAGGTAAGGAGGTGAGTCAAGGTGGATGCCTAGGTTTCTGCATTGAACAATTAGGTGAAGAATGTTGTCATCATCATACAGACTGAAGGGTAAGAAGATGAATTATTTACTTGCATGCCAATTTTGAGTGTACTTTCATGTGAATAAGAACAAAATACAGTTGGCTCTAAAGACATGGAGCTTGCAATCTAGATCACAGGCATTGACATATTGCCACTGATTTCTGAGTATGTTCTTCTTAAATGTCTTTCATCCTAAAGACGTTTTACACTTTTCTAAAAGTTCTCATTTGATATTTAGGTGATTATGTAGGTTACGTGAGTCAGGTGGTCATATCTGTTTTGTAGAAGGAAAAATTGAGAAACAGAGTTAGCATTTTCCCACATGACTATGTAGCTAATTGGTTAAATAATTGGCTTTTTTTTTTAAACCCTACTTCTTTTTAATTCAGACTTCTAGTCACACACTGTGTTCCCTATAATTCAGGCATCAACCAACTATTAACTAAAGTAGCCCACACTTTTAGATTCAATGGAATTGGCTCAAACCCCATTCCATATGTAGGAAGCTTCTATTCTCTCCAGAGATTGTACGCTTGGTGATATGGCTTATGGATTTTCTATTTACTATGATGCTTTTCTTCTGAATCAATTTTCTTTTATAAGTGCCATATTTTTGAAGCGAGATTCCTAACACTTTGGCTTGCTCTCTTTCTCTCACCTCTGCTTACCTCTGCTTACACCCACCCTCCACCGCCCCGAGTAGTTTTACTGTCTTCATCTTTGTTTCCTGTTAGCTAGACTCTCAGGTATCAGGTTACTGAAACACTTTACAAAGGCATTCTAGCCCCTGTTAAGAGTTGCTATTGTTTTCAACCAGACCGTACACTGTTGATAGTGTGATTTTTCTGAAACCGGTATTTTTGTTTAGTTTTTGAATAAGCTGCAAACTATGTTCATGATATTCTCTAGATATGATCACATATTAATGGAAAGGAAAAAGGTGTATACACACACACACACACACACACACACAGAGTGACACACAACATTCACCAAGTCCTGTTGGCAATACCAAATACAACCAAACGTTTCTTACTTAGAAAGAATAAGAAAATACAGATTTTCTTTTTAATTAACACTATTTAGCCAATGTTATGTTTCCTCTCTCTCCTTCACTATCATCTTTCTTATTCTTTGAACTGACCAATTGGCATCTCCAGAATAACTGAGTCATTAAAGGAAATTTGAAGGTTGGTGGAGATCCAATTAAATCCCAAATGAAAGATGAAAAAGATGTTATGAACACATAAGGCCAAACAAACAACAGCAAAAAAGCATATAGATGTATGTGCCTCATAAATTATGTCTCAAATTTCTTCCTTTTTTACATTTATCCTGTCTTCTACAGATAAAAGTAAAGCAAATGAAATATTATGAAGTATCAAGGTGACACTGTAGAAGCTTAATGATTACTTCAGAAGGATGTTCACCATAAAGATTAAGAAAATTGATTTTGTAAAATGTGATACTATTTTTATAAAAACTACAAATCTGTAAGTATGTATATCTATACTACTATGAGAAAAAAGAAACCTGAAGGGTATATACCTTTACATCAGAATGTTAACAATAGTCACCTGTTTTGAGAAGTATGATTTTTCTTTTTTATTTGTTTATCTTCATTTTTACATTTTACAATGAAAGGACTGTATCTGGAGGTGAATTATTTTTTCTAACACAGAATTTTTGTTTTTTTTAATGTCTTCAAACATTATATTGTTAGAGTTTTTTAAATCTATACATATTATGTTCCAGACATTCTCTTAACCAAGATGTCAAAATTAACATTACAGAAAATACTAATTTTATCAATGTTAATGACATCAGATGCTGTTTGGTGTGAGACACTGGGAAAGACACTGCGTTATTGTTGAAGTATTGCAGTTCTTGCCCCAAGTGCATAACTTCAATTGAATCATAAGACAAAATCAGACAAACTTATGAGGGGTATTCTAAAATGAAACAAGCTTATACTTTGCAAATAAAAAACAAAAACAACAAACAAACAAAAACCCCAAAGGAAACTTGGAGAACCATGTGACACTAAAGTGTACCCTGAAAAAAAAAAAGAAAAAGAAACGGTCTCTGTAAGGAGCAATAATGGAATAATCAGCAACATTTGAAAATGGACTGCGTGTTAGATAATAGTATTGTATCTGTGCTAAAATTTCTGAAATGTGTAACTGCACTGTGATTATGTAAAATAATGTCTTTGTTTTTAGGAGATACAAGCAAGATTATTGAGGGCAAAGGGATAGGATCTCTGTAGGTTATTCTCAAATGGTTGAGTAAAGGAGAAAGAAAAAAGCAAAGAAGAAAGAGAAAAAAGGAAGAAAGGGAGGGGAAAAACAGTTTGTGTCTTAGTTATCTGTCTTAGCTATTAGGTTGAATTCCTTGAGATCCAGGTGGGTTAAATATGAATCTTGGCTGGGCGCAGTGGCTCAGGCCTGTAATCCCAACACTTTGGGAGGCCGAGGTGGGCGGTCACCCATGGTCAGGACTTCGAGACCAGCCTGGCCAACATGGTGAAACCCTGTCTCTACTGAAAATACAAAAACTAGCTGGGCATGGTGGTGTGTGTCTGTAATCCCAGCTACCTGGGAGGCTGAGGCAGAAGAATTTCTAGAACCCGGGAGGCGGAGGCTGCAGTGAGCGGAGATTGCACCACTGTGCTCCAGCCTGGGTGACAGAGCAAGACTCTGTCTCAACAAACAAACAAACAAACAGCCATGAATTTTAATTTGTAACATGTTGCCTTGCAATAATTGATGTCTAGTCTCCCAAATCAGGACTGAATAAATTAATAGCTATTGTAACAGTGGACTTACATATTTTTCTTTTCACTCTTGAGATAGTGAAACAGAAGTACGCATCTGAATGAAATGTATAAGAATATACATAGCAGCTTTATTTATAATATCCCTAAACTACAAATAGCCCAAAAATCTATCAGTAGTAAACTAGGCAATCTGTGGCATATCCATATGATGGAAAACTACACAGTAACGAAAAAGAAAAAAATTACCTACTATTAGACATAATAACATGAATGAATTTCACAGATATATAATGCTCAGTTAAAGAAGCAAGACACATTAGTAAGAAACACAAGAATAGGCAAAATTTATACGTGATGATAGAAATAAAAATAAAGGTTACTGTGGGGGAGGAGGTGGATACTGACTGGGAAGGCTCATGAGGGAGTTTTCCAGTGTGATGTGAATGTTCTATATTTTCATCTTGGAGATAGTTATGAATGTATAACTGTGTGATGTAGAAATTCATCTCATAGTAACTTTAATATTAGTACAATTTACCAACTGTATATTATACCAAGTTTCAGCTTATTCTGAGCTCACCACCAATCCATTTTCTCTTTACTGTGTCTAGCCCAGAGACTTGCATATATCAGATGTTCAAGATATATATTTGGAATGAATAAATAAAATTGTTCCTATCTTGTACCTTATTTCTTTAGGACTCTGCTGCATGTGATAATGGATGTTAACAACTGTTATTTCTTTCTGTTAATACTTTTGGAATAGATCTAAGAATATTGTATTAATCCAAGGAGTGATCCTCGTGACCAAAAACTTCAGTAGCAAGTCTATTGGGATATGGGTGAGATTGGGGCTGATCTTTGAAAAATATCAGTCTTCAAAAATTCCACATATTGTGTTTGTTAAGTGTGATAAATCACATGCACCCAGGTGTGCAGCAAATTCAGTTATCACTTGTGAGAGATATGAAGATGTCAGCACAACATGGCACAGGAGCTGGAAGATCTTACCAAAATGAGATGTTTCCCTATTCAGAGGCCTGAGCTAACCCCAGATTTATCTGGACTGGGTAAGGATCAGCCTCCAAGAGGGTCGGGGGAGAACATGGGGGCAGCCATGAGTGGGGAATTAGACACATTCTGGAATCACAGATCAGGAGGTCCATACAAACTAAATTTTAAAATTCCAAAAACCAGGACCAGGCTTTAGCGTGAAGTTATTGGCAAGGACTAGGCAAGGAGTTCTGAAATTCAGGCAGCTAGATTTCAGTTCAAGACAGAATTAATGTCCAAGTCAGGCCCTGAGATGAAAGCCAGGAACCAGGGGCCCCATCCTGTGAGGGAGCTCAGGAGCTCTGAGCACGGTAATAACATGTCTTGTAGCCCCACGCACCCCAGGTATCCTTGGGTGACTCCGACCTGCTCCCCACTGATGTAGAGAAAGAGGGAGTTCCAGGTACCACAGTGTCAGCTTTTATTCAGCAAGGCCTTGGCAGAGTTAAAGCTCTAAGTATATCTGTCTTGTTTGAAACTGAGAGTTATAAAAGGGACAGAAAATAGATCACTGTGATTGTCACCTACACATTATGTCAATTTTGTTAATGGCCATCCTACATTACCCCAAATTACATTTTTTAATGTATTAACTTTAAATTAACTAGAACATTAAGTTACTCAGAAGATTAACTTTCCAAGACACTAAGTAATATTTAATAGTAAATGGACCTCTGAAATTATTACTACAATGATAATTTTAGAAAAATAACAAGCTAATATACCTTTTGCAGCCTATGCTTTTATAGGGATTCTTTGACATAATTTTTTTTCCATATTTAAGAACATTAAAAAATTTGCTTAATTAATTTGTAGTTTGATACTTTCTATTTTTAAAAGTAATTACCAGAGATAATTTGTCCCTTTTCTTATATTAATGAAAATATTATGATAGGATTAAATATATGGAAAAATCCAATATTCTAGTTAGAAACAAGAAAAAGCATAAAGAATATTCTCTCAGAACTTGAATTGCTTTTAAAATTTGAATAAATTTCCAACGTGTTATAGGTTTGGGGATTTAAAAGCAGGATACTTTTTAGTTGCATATATATATAAAATTTATGTTTCATAAACTGAGTTTATTATATTCAATTATAAAGATGCTTTTGTTCATAATCCAAACGTAGATGAACATATATCTTTAATATGCATATTGGAGAAAAGTATATGAACTGCAGAAATTCTAATTAATTTGGGGATTTGGAGAGTGACATTAAACTTAACCACTTTTGGGGGTTGCTCATACGGCCGTCTACCTCACCTTGGTTTGAAAAGCAAGCACAATTCATCTCTATTTGGAATCTAGTCCTAAAACCGGACAATTAATAGTCTAGTAGACTATTGCTATTTCAGATCACATGTGATTATAATTCTGCAACTGGGCTCTTTAATAGAAGAGAATAATTGGCTCATTTGGTAAATAAATCATTAGGCTTTTGGTTTTCCTTTGTGTATTTATGCAAAACCTAAGCCACATACAATTTGTGGGTATTATTGTTGTTTTATAACTAATCCTGACCTTGGCACTTCAGCCAGGGGTGAATGGCTAAGTCATCTTTGCTCTGCTCTTGTATCCTCAGCATTTCCATATCCCTCTCCTCTCCTCTCCTCTCCTCTCTCTCTGCTCCTCTCCTTCCTAGGTATGCTGCAAAAGGTCATGGTATCACGCCGTAAGTTGTTCAAAGCCCGTTACTACGCTTTGTGACTGCTCAGGTTACAAATACTTGTATTTGGCAGTCCTCTTGTTTGAGGACTTTCACTTTCTCTTTCACGTTACATTTGTTCTTGTTTCCCACTATTGCTATAGTGTATATATATTTGAACATATATAAGGCAGGGCGTGGTGGCTCACACCTGTAATCCCAGCATTTTGGGAGGCCAAGGTGGGTGGATCACCTGAGGCCAGGAGTTTGAGATCAGCCTGACCAACATGGTGAAACCCTGTCTCTACTAAAAATACAAAATTAGCTGGGCATGGTGGCACATGCCTGTAATCTCAGCTACTTGGGAGACAGAGGCAGGAGAATCGCTTGAACCCAGGAGGTGGAGGTTGCAGTGAGCCAAGATCACACCACTGCACTTCAGCCTGGGCGACAGAGCTAGACTCTGTCTCAAAAAATAAAAGAATATATATAAATAGGTTTTTGCACATTGCTTTTAGTACCCTGGGAGAAAGCCCAAACTTGTGCTGCTGTAACCATTAAAGCTGTATACTATTTGCTGTGGCATTATTTGACATCAAGTTACAAACTCTTTGCTTTGAAGGAAGAGTTCTGTAAATTATTGTTACACTCAGTAAACCTCGTTATTTAGGAGGGCAAAGAGCACCTACTCAGCCAGATTCTACACAAAGATTACCATCCCTTGTAGCGAAGCAACATGGGTTCCAGTTGTTCCTGACCTATTCTTACTAAGATCAACACTGGCCACAACTAGACTAGACGTTAAAGGAAGATGAGACCAATAGAAACAAGTGCCTAGCAATTTCTAACGTTTTACTGTGGTTGAAGTGCAGATTACACCCATCACAAGCTACACCTGGATTTTCCTCTGAAATAAAAAAGAACACAGTGTCCTAGGCAATGTTCCATGTGCAACTGAGAAGACTGTGTGCTCTATTGTTGCTGGGTGGACTGTTCTATAGGTGTCTGTAAGGTGTATGTGAGTGGGCATGAACATGCATGGTGAAATGTCACACACACGTGCACACATACATGTGTGCATACATACACATGGACAGAGCTTCTGGCCCATGAAAAGATAGCATTTTTTTCACATTTCAGAAATGCAATGAAAGTATTTTCCAATTGGATGTCTAAATTTACGCTATAATTTACTTACTTGAAATACATGTCTATTGCAAGACAATATTTAAAAGATGAGTTGCAAACATGTACTTGACTTAAGACATTGTGTTTATAAATATAACAGATTAGAAATATCGCTAGAAACCTTATTTTTTAAAGAAAAAAGCCCGTTTACTTATTTCATATTCCTTTTTCAGAAGAATGCCACTTCGAGTATTTCAGAAGGCTATACTAACAGTGCCAATTTCATTATTCAACATGTTTTCTCTAAATGGAAAATAAAAGTTTCCATTTTATATAAAGTTTAGCTAGACTGTATACCTCACATCATATTTAGGTCTCTAAAATTTCAGATCTTGTTTGAAATTCTCACAGACTGGAGAAATAAGATAAAAATGTCTGCCTATAACTTAGTTACCATATAAACACTGACAATTTTTACCCACTCAAAACAAATACATAAATAGAGACTAAGGTGTTGTTTGTTTCTTTGTTTTTCTATACTGAGTGATTTGTTCCAATTTGTTTGTTTCATAGGCAGTTAAACAAAATCCTCAGCTGTACATCATGTACTTCCCACTTCCTCCGTATGGCAAGAGGGCTCTTTCCTCTTTGTACTCTCAATCTGCCCTCTTCCCTGTATCTCTTTCTGTTCATGTCCAACAGGCAGCTTCTGGCTCACTAATGCTCTCAACAATTATATTTGAGATTTGTTTATTTGGGAGTGTGTTGTTTAATTTCCCAAATATCCTTCTATTACTCCTTTCTAATTTCATTCCATTGTTGTCACAGAACATAGTGTCATTTCACTCCTTTTTAAGGTATTGAGACTTGCTTTAAGGCCTGACATATGGTCTACCCTGGGGAATGTTCCATGTGCAATTGAGAAGACTGTGTGTTCTGTTATTGCTGGGTGGACTGTTCTATTTCTATAGATGTCTGTAAGATTTATTTGGATACAATGTTTTTCCAGTCTTTTTTCCAGGTTAATATTCTATGTTATTATATCCATTATTAAAATTAAGATTTTGAAATATCCCACTTATTGAATTGTCTATTTTTCCCTTTAACTCATTTTGTTGGCTTCATGTACTGTGTGCATGCATATATGTTTACATGCATATATGTTTAAATTTTTTATATCTTCTTGATGGAATAACCATTTTACTGTTTAAAATATTGTTACATGCCTCATGTAAGAATTGTTGTCTGAAAGTCTATTTTCTCTGTTATTTGTATGTTTTCCAGCTCTCTTTTTATTACTATTTACATAGTATATCTTTTTCATACATTTGCTTTTACTGTTTTTGCTTATTTAATTTTTTGTTGTTTGTGTGTTTAGTGTTTCCAAGCTAATTCTATAAAATCTGTATCATTGTCAAGTGTGGCCACCGAATTTCCTATTCTACATGTCATCTGTTGAGTGGACAGTGATTTCTTGGAATGCTGGGATCCATAAGTCTCTCAGCCTGCAGGGGGGCTGTGTGTGTGTTGGGGCATGTCTTCAACACTTGGTCAGGCCATTTAGAATGCTGTTTGTACAGAGCCTCAATGTCAGCCAAAGGTGAGAGTAGGGTCTTCTCCAGTCTTTCCTGAAAACACACACAGCCCTATGCACATGTGTGACCTCTAGATTCCCATGAATATGTCGGATAATTTCAAAACCCCTATGGTCATTTTATTTCTCAGCTTTTCTTTTTAAGCTTTTTGGTTAGACTTTTATTTTCCCAACTGTAATCTCTCACTTCAGGCAGTCTTGTTATCAACAAACAATCCCTGAGGAGAGGCTTTTAGAACTAGGTGAGTAGGAGTGAGGAAAAATAAAGACAAGCATATTTAGTGAGGTCTTCCTAGGAGTCAGAGACAGATAAAAAAAATGACTATTCTTTGAAGATGAGGGTTTTCAAGAGCTTGATCTGTTCTCTCTTTCGTACCAAAAATGCAAGCTTTAGTTTTTAAGGCTACTGGAGAGTGGTAGAGGAGACTAGGTTAAGTTAAAATGCAACAAAGCTCACTGTCACTTTTCTTACCATGATTTGCTGGGTTTTTGTTTGTTTGTTTTTAACTAAATTCTCTCTGGGTTGCTGTAAGCCTTTGGCTCTTTTCCAGAGTGTTGACAAAATTGTTTCTAACATTTTTTTTGTTTGTTTTTTCCCTTGCTTATACCAGAGAGAAAATTTTCAGAGATTCTTACTCTTCCACTTTGACTAACATCAATCTAGTTGGTATCTTTGGCTTCATTTTTGAAGGATATCTTTGCCAGGTATAGAATTCTGGGTTTGCATTTTTTTTCAGTACTTGAAAGACTTGTTTCAATATCACTGGTTAATACTTCCTGAAGCAATGTTCATAGTGCCATAAATTCTTTTACCATTTGATTTAAGTGTTTTTCTCTGGCAACTGTCAAAGTTTGATTTTGTTTTGCTTTGCTTTTTTTCTTTTCATCATTTGACTCATGATTTTCTTCATGTTTATTCTGTTTTTAATTTGCTGAGCTTATCATCTATTTGTTAGTCCTTCTGACATTATCCTATAGGCCCTTGGCTTGGCTCATTTTTTTAATGTTTTTTCCTTTTTCATTTATTTTTATCATTGCTGCTATTTCTTTGTTAATTACTATTGATTTATTTTCAATTTGTCTCATAGTTTATTTTAATATCATCATCTATTAAATCCAGCTGGTGAAATTTTAAATATAAAAGTGTATATATTTTTTAAAAATTTTAATTTGCCTCTTTCATATATATTTTAATTTTCTGCTGATATTTTGTCTCTTATTTTATTAGAAGCATGTATACTATTATTATTATCCTTCTCAAGTTTAGTTTTTAAAGAGCATTCGAAGTTATTGTCTGGTAATTCTAACATCTGTGTTAATTTAAGGTTTGCTGTTGTTGATTTTATTTTCCCTTAAGAAAGATAAACCACATTTTTTTGGTTGTTCGTATATTGAGTATTTGGGATTATCTTCTGGACATTGTGAATATTTTGTTGTGGATGCTCTGGATTCTGTTACATTCCTTCAAAGCCTATTGACGATTTTGTTTTAGCAGCTATTTTACTTGGTTAGACTCAGACTGCAGACTGCAAGCTCTGTCTTGCCTGTGGTGGACCACAACATGAGCATCTTACAGTCTTCTACAGGTATGCTTGAGGCCCACCAGAGACTTGGTAACATATCTAGACAAATGCACACATACAAACACACACAGACAAACAAAAACACGCACAAACCCCTATATGCACAGAGTGTGGAATTCTCCTTTTCTGATTTTCTCACTTTAGATTTGCCCCATTACTTTCTAGTAGGTCTGGTGTTTCAAGATCCTTCCCTAGTGTCTCTGGTCAGAAAAATTATAGGCTTTCTACATTGTTTTATCAACCTGTGCTACGTTGTGACTGTGACTATCCTCAGATCAACATCACAGATGCAGGAAATTAACTCCTCATTCTCTCCTTGCTTTCTCTAAATTTTTACACCCCTCAAATACCATCCTGCTTTTGTTTATTCCTGAGAGCCCTAAAGCATGTTTCGTGTTTGTTTGATTGCTTGCTTATTTGTTTTGCCCAGAGTTTATAGTTGTGATCTGCAAGAAATTTGGTTCTTATACACTTATTCCTAGTTTGAATAATTTCAACAGGCTCTGGGGTAGAGGGCCTGGCCCTAGTTGTCTGGTACCTGATCCTGGAATGATTAGATTAGGTGGATAGTGGCCTAAAGCATAAGAGCTCCATAAGGAGGTGGTTGAAGTGTAGACTCTGGATTTGCTTGGTTTGCATATGAAGGTCATGCTTGTGGGTGAGTCCTGTGCTACCTCTAAGAATTGGCTGGCCCTGAGAAGGGCAGTTGTTCCAGGGTCAGCAAGGACCCAAGATTTCAAAGCATCAGGAAAGAAAAAAGACATGCTTGATACATACTGGAACCTGCTTATATATCCGTTTTAGTCCAGAACACATTATGTATCCTGTCCAGTGCTTTTTCCAATCTATATTAATGATGACTTGTTTTATAGTTACATGTTTTATCATTTTTATCCAGTTACCTTTGTGTATTATTGATCTAATTTTAGAAGTTTTAGTATTGAAACATCTTTTGGTTTCTGGGATCAGCCCAACTTTGCTTCATTGTGTTATTATTTTAATTTACTTTCCAATGTATTTGCTAATGCTTGAGTATTCTATAAACTATTTTATAGTTTATAGTTATATAGTATATATAGTTATACAGTTTATTATAGTATTGTATAAAGAATTTTTGCCTCTCAATATTATCTCATGTATATTTTATTTCTTTTTTACGTATTTGAAGCACTACTTTTAAACTTTGTATAATACTCTTCCTGGTGTATATGCCACAGTTAATCATTCTCTCATGGTTAGAAATTTGCAGTCATAATGCTCCTAATTGTTAGGCTTTGAACAACTGTTTCACAAATTTTTTTCCTGGGATTTGGATTTGGTTTTTTATAAAAGTAGTGAGTATTGTGAAAGGTTTGTATGATTTTTCTCTTTCGAGGAAAAGGAGTGTGAAGGATCTTTTTCATTGCCAATAGTTGATATTTTATTTTTTAAACAAGTTTTCCAGTTTGATAGTTGGCATTCATAAAAGTATTTTTTGGCTGGGCATGGGGGATCCTGCCTGTAATTCTAGCACTTTGGGAGGCCGAGGCGGGTAGATTGCTTGAGCTCAAGAGTTCAAGAACAGCCTGGGCAACATGGTGAAACCCTGTCTCTACAAAAAATACAAAAATTAGCAGGGCATGGTGGCCAGTGCCTGTAATGCCAACTACTTGGGAGGCTGAGTTGGGAAGATCTCTTGAGCCCAGAAGGTAGAGGTTCCAGTGAGCCAAGATTGTGCCACTGTACTCCAGCATGGATGACAGAGTGAGACCCTACCATACATATATATATATATATAGAGAGAGAGAGAGAGAGACAGAGGGAGAGACAGTATATATATAGAGAGTGTATATATATAGTATTTATATATAGAGTATATATATAGATACATATATACTCTATATACATATATACTCTATATAGTATATAGATACATACTATATATAGTATATAGATACATACTATATATAAGTATATAGATACATACTATATATAAGTATATAGATACTATATATGGCATATATATACTGTGTATATATACTGTATATATACTCTATATACTCTCTATATACATACTATATATAGTAGGAGTGTGTATATATATATACTCCTATATATATATATGGTAGGGTCTATACTATATATATACACACTATATATATAGTATATAGAGTATATATATATGTATACTATATATATGGTAGGCTGTATTATATACTCTATATACATATATACTCTATAGATATACTCTATATATACTCTATATACTCTATATGTGTATATATGTATATATGTGTATATATGTATATATGTGTATATATGTGTATATGTGCATATATGTATATATGTATGTGTATATGTATGTGTGTATATGTGTATATGTGTATATATGTATATGGTATATGTGTATATATGTATATATGTGTATATATGTATATATGTGTATATATGTATATATGTTTATATATGTATATATGTGTATATATGTATATATGTATATATGTGTATATATGTATATATGTGTATATATATGTGTGTGTATATATGTGTATATATATATATACTCTCTCTCTATATATATTTTTTTTGTAGAGACGAGGTTTCACCATGTTGCCTCTGCTGGTCTCAAACTCTTGGGCTCAAGTGATCCTCCTGCTTTGGACTCCCAAAGTGCTACGATTACAGGAATGAGCCACGGCAGCCAGCCCGTTTATAAATTTTTTAATGGAAACCATATGACTAAAATTAATTACATTATCTCAGGATGACATGGCTTTGTCTTTATATTTTCAAACATTATTTCACCAAGTTATGTGTAAGTGTTGATAATTCTGTATTTTTTTTTTCCTGAACTATTCTGCATTTTCTACATGTGGATCTTTTTTTTTTATAGAATTTTTTTTTAATTATATGTGGGAATAAGTTTGTTCTTCCATTTATGTTTTTAGTTCATCCACAGTTATTATTAGAGTTTTTAAAATATCATTTCTCTCTCTTCTAGAACAATCACTCCATCTTCAATCCTGTAATATTTTATGATCCTCTTCCAGTTTATGAGGCACATTTTTCTCAAGCCTTTTTTTCTTTGTTAACTATCTTACCTGTTTTCAAGAGTTTATTCTCCTAATTGACTCTTATAATATTACTTTTATTATGGAATGATTTTATATTTCTCTTCTGTTTCTTTCCTAATCTGTGCTAGTTTACTCTTCATATATATTTTTTAAATCCTTAACCTGACTGGGTGCGGTGGGTCACGGCTGTAATCCCAGCACTTTGGTAGGCCGAGGCGGGCAAATCACTTGAGGTCAGGAGTTTGTGACCAGCCTGGCCAACGTGGTGAAACTCCATTTGTACTAAAAAATGTAAAAATTAGCCAGGTGTGGTGGCGGGCGCCTGTAATCCCAGCTACTCGGGAGGCTGAGGCAGGAGAATCGCTTGAACCCAGGAGGCGGAGGTTGCAATGAGCCGAGATTGCACCATTGCATTCCAGCCTGGGCGACAAGAGCAAAACTCCGTCTCAAAAAAAAAAAACAAAACAAAACAAAACTGAAACAAAAACTAAAACAAAAAACAAAAGGGCGGGCACGGTGGCTCCCGCCTGTAATCCCAGAACTTTGGGAGGCCGAGGTCAGGAGATGGAGACTATCCTGGCCAACATGGTGAAACTCTGTCTCTACTAAAAAATGAAAATTAGCTGGAAGTGGCGGCGCGTGTCTGTAGTCCCAGCTATTCAGGAGGCTGAGGCAGGATAATCACTTGAACCTGGGAGGTGGAGGTTGCAGTGAGCGGAGATCATGCCCCTGGACTCCAGCCTGGCTACAGAGCTATCTATACTCTGTCTCAGAAAAAAAAAAAAGAAAAAAAAATTCCTTAATTGATCCCTCGTATCTTATATTTAGTTTCTGTTTGAAAGAAACTAATTTAAATATATTTGCTTTCATGGAAAATGATGGTCTTGTTGCTTGCTTTTATTGTTTTTATACATTTTATTTCCTTCAGAGTACTGTTTACTGGTGGATTTTCTTCACTTCTTTTCTTATTTCTTGTGTTTACTCTCTTTTCTTTATATTTTCAACAACTTTGCAAAGGTTGCACAATGGCTACGCTCTAATTATTACTTGTCACTAAATTGGATTGTTTCGAGGTTTGCAGGAAAACCAACCATCCCTGCTGAAATTTGGAAGATCAGCACGATGATCTGAGGCAGACTGTTGTTTGAGTTTTTATTGTGTCTACATAATTTTCAGCTTTGCCTTTGTTTTTTTTTTTAAGAAATGACTTATTTGACACAGTTCCTTATTGTACATTTTATTATATAAATGTAGAAACATACATCAAAGTTGAAAAAATTGTACAATGAACACCTGTGTACCCACTGGCTAGAGTCTGCAGTTACCATTTTATTAGCTTTATTATGTATCTATCAATGTATTCATCCTTCTCTCCAATCATCAATCTATATTATTTTTAGATGCATTTCAAAGGGCCTTGCAGGCATTTGTACACTTCTCCTTGAATTCTTCAGCCTGCACGTCATTGCTGGACTTTACCATTTGCTGTATTTTTTTCTGACCTTCCTTACCCAGGAGGGTTCTTGGGATATTTCTTTCTTTGGATGATTTAGCCTTAGATCTTGGCAGACAACTAAGATTAGCAGCTGCAAAGTTGGTTGCCACTCTTTCTCTTCCCCGGACCCCCAGTCAGTACGCAGCTTCTTGTTAAATCATTTTTGCTCTCTATTTTTTAATTTACTACCTCTATCTGATCATCCCACTACTCAGCAATGATGAGAAAAGTCACAAAAGCTTCGAGCCCCCAGAACATTGCAAGGCATTGCTGCTTATGAGCATGACAACTACCTTTGCAGAATGTTTGCCCCATCAGAGGTCTGAATGAGCCTGAGCCAGTGTGGAGACCCTCCTTCCCTCAACGCTGTACCCATCCTCATTGCAATCAAGCCTTGCTTACTGGTGGTGCTTAAGTTTGGGTACTACCTTTTAATTACATTGGGGTTAAAACTCTGTTTTTTATGTAATCTTTTTGTTTGGTTTTTCTTTCCATAATTTTCAGTTTATTTAAACAAATAAAGCAGGAAAAAATTATTTTTGCTGTGCTATATTTTACTGAAGGCTCCGAGGCAATTTTACTTCTGGAGTAATATAATTCTCCAGTCCTCTTCTTTACTGTTTAGCCTATTTCTTAAATTATTGGTAGTCATACGAGTATACTGGCTAAGTACATGGGTACTGTGGTAAAATTACATGAGGGTTGAATGAACTTTTATCAGTTTATTAGGATGGAACTTTGGGGACATTATGTAAACTGATGTTGATTCAGCTTTCTCTTCTGTAAAATTTGGATGTTAAACCTATCTTCTATGGTTTCTGCGATAATTAGAGGAAAAAATGATTCTGAAGTGCCAAAGAGCCTACCTGACACAAAATAAGGCTTTACTTTAAAAATTATTTCTGTAAAATTAAATTTAACAATCTCTTTTCCATGCATTTTAGGTCATCACTAAGCAAGTTCTTCCCACTCATGGATTCTAGAGGAGTTCACCCATGTCCAGAGAAAGTTTGCAGTTAAGTTTTTAGCACCAGAAAAAAAAATGCCATTTTGGGGGGATGGTAATAAATTTATAAACATCTTTAGGGAAAACTGACCACTTTTTGATACTGAGTCTTCCAATCTAAGAATTTGGAAGTTCTTTCAATTAGTTCTTGTCTAACTCGTCACATTCACAACAGTTTTCTAATTTGCTTTTTTTTGGGGGATATGTTCTGTTTATGCCTGGTTATTAAAACCTTGATATGTATTTCTGAGTATTTTATATTTCCATTATGATTTATTTTCTTACCCTTGACATTATTAAGGAGTACAGTTTCCAATGTTAAAGACTACTTTATTTTAAATATTTTATAATAGATTTCTAATTTATTTTCATTTTAGAGGCCACTGGCTGCATAACAATAAAACTTTAACATGTGCTTAGATTTGCTTCATAATGTAGTAGAATCCATATTTATATTCCATTTTTAAATTGAAGTTGATATACAATTTCCCATTATTGGATGAAGAAACTTATGCATTTCTACCAGACGCTAAACCATATTTGTTAATAGTGTCCTCCCAATCTCCTGTGCCCCACCAAGTTTTTGTCTGACAAAACCTCTAGATATTGACATGAAAGTGTGAATGTCTTCCGGTCAAATGGTGGAATAACAAAGTTGCCTTGTAGCTTTCTCAACATTACATATATTTCTATTTGTGGGGAATTTTATCAGAAAATCTTTTCTTAAATTTATTTTATTAAAGTCTGTTTTATCTGCTATTAACATAGCTACATCATCTTCCTTTGCTTAATTTTAGACTTGATTTGACTATTTTTATCCTTTTATTAACATGAAAACTTAAAATGTACACCTGACAATCTGTATTTTTTAACAAAGACATTTTGTCAAAGAATATTTAATGTAATTTCTAAGATTTTTAGATGAAATTTCCATCACATTATTTTGTAGCTTGTTTTTCTGTAGTTTTCTATCTTCTCTATGATTTCTCATGTCTAGCATACTTTTAGGACTGCTTCATTTTGTTCACATTTCTTTTCTCTTTGCTGCTTTGGAAGTTGCACTCTCTGCTTCTGTTCTTTTGTGAGTTGCTTTATAAATTTTAATAATTGTAGCAATATCCCTGCGCCTCTTTTGAGAAACAAGTAGACTTCAGAATCACTCATTCTTGCTGTCTGCCCGAACTGTATACTATTGATGTCTAGTACTCTATTTCAGCTTTGTTTTTAACCCCATTATTTGAACACAGTTATTGTTTTATAGTCAATGCATGTCAGATTTACCCATGTTTATCAGTTTAGCATTTCTTTGCTTTTTTTTCTGTGTATCTCAGACCTCCCATCTAGTATCATTTTCATTCTTCCTGACCTATATACTTTAGAATTTTATTTAATGAGCATCTTTTGTAAATAAAATCCCTCAGGTTTTTGTTGATTTGTGAATGTTTTTGATTCCTATTAATTCATAAAACATAGATTTTCCATACATACAATACAAGATGGACAGTTAATTTTTCTCATTGCTTCATATATATTATTTCATTGACTGATGGCATTCATTACTGCTTTGAAAACTCAGTTGCCATACTAATTGTTCTTTTGGCGTGATGTGTTTAGGGATAGCTTTTTGTTGTTTTGTTTGAGCGGGGGACTTTCTAAATCTGAGAATTGGAATCTCTTATCAATTCTGCAAATTCTCACCCATTAATTATTTTTTTTTCCTATTCTCACCATGTTTACTTTATGGAATCCTATTAGATATATCTTAGCTCCTTCCACCAAGCCCCTATCTCTCTTGACCGTTACTTCCTGTCTCCATGTTTCCAGTTAGTCTCTCTACACTGCATTCTGTAATATTCCTTTATATTCTAAAGCTTAGTAGTTTTTTTGTGCAATTTGAAATCTGTTATAGTTTTCTTCCATTGTGTTTTTAATTTCATTTATTAAAATTTTTATCTTCTAGAAGCTCTATTTTGTTCTTCAAATATTTCTGGCTTCTATTATACTTTTCATAATCTTCCTATGTTAATAAACATATTAAATATTTATATTTTAAAAACGTTAATTCTGGTGGGCTGGGTGGCTCACACCTGTTGTAATCCCAGCACTTGGGGGGCGGAGGTGGGTAGATTGCCTTAGGTCAGGAGTTCGAGACCAGCCTGACCAACATGGTGAAACCTCGTCTCTACTAAAAATACAAAGATTGGCCCAGTGTGGTGGTGGGTGCCTGTAATCCCAGCTACTCAGGAGGCAGAGGCAGGATATTGCTTGAACCCAGAAGGCGGAGGTTGCAGTGAGTCAAGACCGAGCCATTGCTCTCCAGCCTGGGCAACAAGAGCAAAACTCTGTCTCAAAAAAAAAGAAAAAGTTAATTCTACTGTCTGCAAAATTAATGACTGTAATTCTCCAATGAGTTATTTTTCTCACTTTTGCCCATCATGTTTTATTCTGCAAATGCTTTATGGTTTTCTTATAAGCTTATTTCCTTTGATACATCATTTATGGGAATTACTTTGGACCAGATAAAGGGGTCATCAGAGATGGTCAGAGATCACAGAGATGATTTGCTTCTGAAAGCCACCTAGAGGCACTGCAAACCTGAAATTTATTTAACTTAAGTTTTGACTGGAGTTACACAGAGCCACATATGTAGTATTTATCTTGCTTTTGTATTTATATGAGGTTGACGTTGTCAAAGAAGGCTTTTTTCTTTTTCTCTTTTTCTCTCCTCCATACAGAGTCAGGATCAAAATAGGAATGTCTTCTTATAGTCTGGTTCTCAGAGCAGGGTATTTTTTCCTAATTTACTCCCTGAACAGATTGCCTTTCAGGAGTCTCCCTTATAAGTAAAGTTCTCTGCTATGAGCTCTTACCTTGTGATGAACCAACTTTGTCATCTGCCCCTCCCCCCCTAACCTAACCTCTAGGCTACCAGAGACTTCATTTCTCTGTTCTGAAGTAACGGAAGTGGGAAGATAAATTGAAAGTCCTTTCAGTGTAATATTTACATTTGAATGGAGCTGCACAATGTAGATGAAGCTCCCTAGACTATCCATGAACTGCTTTTGGGCTTCAATTCTCTATGATTGTATGCTCATCTCTTTAATGGGATTTATTGCTTTTCACATTTTTCAGGCATTGTTTTCAAAGGATGACTATTAGTAATTTTTGTTATGTTTAATTATAACTTTTTCTAGCTTAATCTTAAAGCCATACAGAATGGTGTCAGCTCCATGAAATGCCATCTGGAGATGACAGCTGGGGACTGGATGATATTACGAGAGATAATGGTACCTTCATGTAGGGTTGCCATTGCTGTATCCTGTACATGCAGATAAATGAGATTTGTTTATGAATTTTACATGTTCAAAGCACTGCCTCTTCGTATTAAAAACAATGTCATAAAGGAATTTGAAAGTCTGTTTTCTCATTATAGTATTATCATCAATCTGGAATTATTGTGTTCATTAACAGTAAAAAATATTATTCACAAGCTAGAGGTTTTATTGTTCTTATGTTAGCTTTTTAAATATATAAACCAAACTCAATACTTTTTAAAAAATCTGTGAAACCCCTACATGGACTATGTAAGGCTGCCATAAAAAAAAAAAACACAGACAGAGTATCTTAAACAACAGAAGTTTATTTTCTCACAGTTCTGGAGGCTGGAAGTCCAAGATCAAGGTTCCAGCAGGTTTGATTTTTCCTGAGGTCCCACTCCACAGCCTGTAGACAGCTGCCTTCTCTCTGTGTCCTCACGTGGCCTTTCTTCTGTGCCTGCACATCCTTGGTGTCTCTTCCTCTTCTTATAAGGACACCAGTCCTGTGGAATTAGGGGCCCACCCTTAGGGCCTTATTTGGCCTTAATTACCTCCATATAGGGTCTGTTTCAAAATACAGTCACATTGGTGTTTAGGGTTTCTGCATATGCATTGGGGGAGAGGGGGGGTTTCAGCTCATAATGGACTGTAAATAATCCAAAAAAAGTCTTTTAATTGTTTGGTCTAAATTTTAAGGGGATGTGAAGACGTTATAAAATTGCTATCAAAAGTTTGAAGCTTTGCTGCTTGAAGCTTTCTTTCTGTCTAGCAATCTTTTTTATATCCCTGTGTAGTAGACATTGCGTGCATATTATATATTCAGAGATATTCAGTCATCTGAGTGATACCTGCTGTGTCATGTTTTCCATCACAGATTAAGGTCATTCCTCGCTCATTGGGAACACTGAGTCAAAGAAAATAAGTTTGCAAGAAGACAAGGAATGACCTGTAGGCATACTAAGCCTGCATTTGAGACTGACAAGGAGTGAGAGATACTGTTTTGAGTGTGTGTGAAAATGAAGAGAATGAATCATCTTTTACTGATTATAATCTATAACTTGAGTTTGCAAGTCAAAGAACTTCTGAAACAGGGGTAAGGGTCTCTTATTTATTGGTTTGTCAAAAGCTATGAATAATAGTAAAACAATTTTAATAGAAACTTGGATATCAGGTAAATGTTTAATAAATGATTAAGATCTTTTGTCTTAAGCGTGTGCTGTTGGTTTTATTCATTAGGAAATTAAACAAGGCTACAAGCACTTTTTGAAACCCATTTATGCCATCAACAACAAGGAATCTAATTACAATTTTGAGATGCTCTAGGGAAAAAAAATAACCACCACAAGCTGAAGGATTGCAAAAGCAGGGATACAATATCTGTCAAATACATCTGGAGACTGCTGCATCCAGCTAGGCATACATGTTGCTAAAAATCAAGCCCTGAAATCTAACTTCAAGTTTCAAGTGGACTTTGTGGTCTCATTCTGGTCTTCATATGTTACTGTCACAAAACCACCATGGAGTTCAGCATAATTCATTGCGGCTGGTGGTCTTCAATCTGAAGAAGCCAGAAACAGGAATAGCAAGAGTTATGGGATGTAGCAGCATTTTGATTCTCTATAATGTTGATTTGGAGTCCACTCAAAAGACTTGGAGGTATATCAGACTTTGAATTTACACCTTATCGTCTCTGCCTGGCTTCAGGCAACATCTGACTTCTAAAACAACAAAACATGAGGAATTAATTCGTTTTTAAACCTAGAAATTTTCTTTTCTGGCCATCAGTGGAAATAGTATTAAAAAAAAAAGGAAATAATAGAATGAATCGCAGTGATTACAGAGACAAATCCTTAAAGATTCTTTATGCCAAGATCCATTTGGAAACACGTATTCTCCAGTGTCATAGCTTGGAAAGACTAATGACCTTGCATTGATGAACTGGAAATAGCAGAAGGCATGGAACCCACTTGATAGTAAAAAAAATACTGTATGTGTCAATTGATTGCAAGATTGTTCTGGAATGGGGATGTTGCGAAGGAACAGTCTCCTGGAAGTCTCACTCTATTTAGTGTTGTTTAGTGGGTTAGATTCTTCCTGTGACCCAGGTGAATACAGGATCCTAGAATTTCTGAGTTGCAATTTCTCCTGTTTATAATTTTTCAAAACCTTAAGATTTTACAGCAAACTACCTCTCAGTGAAATAAATGGAAACTATCTGTTTGATTAACTGAAGGGTTAATCAAATTTAAAAATAGGAAGCATTTTTCCATATACATGCAGGATTACACCTCATTCCACAATAACATTAATATTCATTACTACTGGGAGGTCTAGCCTGGCAGGACCACCCCAGAATAGCATAATGGTGAATATGATGAATAAATGCATGGCAAGATCCCAGAGACATATACATCAGTTTTGTTTTAAGAAAAGCTGACCTGAAAGTTTATTTAACCTCTGTTTGGTTAAGCAATTATTCTGAACAACTGATCTTGTAAAAGCATTCTTTGAATTGTACTTAAACATAGTTGCAAGATGCCTTCCAGAAATCAGAAACCTCACCACGTCTTTAGGATACAGCTGCAAATAATGTTTCTTCTGGATCTTTCTCTATTATTCTGAGTAAGTTACCTATACAATTTAACTCTTGAACTTTGGCATAAGGATTATTTTGACCTGCAGGCATTTGAGAATCAGCACATGCTAGAAGAGGTATGAAAGCCTTCTTTTATGTGTCTGAAAGTGGGGCATAAATTTCCCTATCTGAAAAATGCCCACTCCCTTCCCCTCCCATCAGGAAGAGAACAATTCTTATCATTAGAGATGGAGAGGTGCTGTGAAGGTGAGTTTGCATAAACACCCCTTGCTAAAATAAATCTTATCCTCCATTAGTCTTCCTATGTGTTTCCTAGTCACTTCCCCACAATTTATTTTCCCTTTAAGTCCAAACCTCTTTTATTAAAATAGTATACAGGCCCCCAAGTTTAACTGCCTTTTTGAGTATTATTTCTTTTTTGTGAATGCTCATGCACATAAATATTAATTTTAAATGTGTGATTTTTCTCCTGTGAATCTGTCTTTTGCTAGTTTAATTCACAGGCCCCTAGACGCTGACCTAACAGAGTAGAGAAAAAGTTTTTCCTCCATGACACACAACAGACCCTGGTCAATAAGAGCATACGAAGGCTATTGAAAGGATGCAAGGTCTATTTTGAAATTTTCAGTGACACTGTCAGAGTATTCCTTTGCATACGCATTTTGAAGAAGACAGAGGAAACAAGCATTTTTGAGTGCTCACTTTTTGTCACTCACTGTGTTTCTAAATGCACTCAAGTCTTCAAAGTAGATCTTGTTTCTAATTTACAAACGAAGCAATTGATGTTTAGAGAGGTCAAGTGACTTGCTCAAGGATACACAGGTCTCTCTACTTAGCTCATGCTCTTTCTACTGCACCTCACTTCCTCCTTATGGCAAGCATCATAAATGAGCAGCCGTGATGAGTGTCCTGAATAGGCTGGGGAGAGCTGATTTAGGATTCACAGTGTTTGTGAACATAACTACATGCACTTTTTCGTGATGCCCTCTTCGATCCAGGTTATATATGTTGGATGGGTGGCTTGGTTGAGTTGCAATTAATGTTGGGAGTGTCTAGATTTTGACACGCAAATGTTGGCTTAAATTATAATATGAAAGCTAAAATAATCCCAAAGCAATTTATTTAGAGTTTTCTCTTGGTTTACATTTTGGCACTATGGGGCCTCTGAGAAAAACACCCTAAAATCTTCAGCCTGCTTTCATGTAATAGAAGCTGAATATCTTGTACTAGAAATTTATACATCTGTTCATTCTGTGACTCCCTAACTTCCTAGTGAATAATAAACTGAACTTGTTCAGGTTCCTCGTGATTGCCAGACATAACTAGCCCTGCTGCCTTTGGGTTCATTTTTTTCTCTGATTTTGAGAGACATCCGATCTTCAGCTCTCCTCTACAGGAAAAATTTCTGACGGGTAAAGTTAATTTACAAAAAAAGAACACTTAAAAATTTAGAATCTCTCATACTGCTTTGTCACAGCCACCAAATAACACCTTCCGCTTGCCTATTAACTTTCTGTCATGGGATAACAGTTTCATATATTCAGTTCTTTTGGAAATTATTTTTCCCTTGAGTAATGCTACTTTACATTAGCTCAAGGCATGAGGACGTATGAATCTTAGGTGCACTTCTGTGCATTGATTTCTGGGCTAATTAATCTCAATTCTGGCATTTCACTGTGCAGCATATGCCTCTATCTTATGAGAACACACTTTTTAAAGAAGATGTGACATAAATCCTCGGTTATTTGAGCTTTATCTGCATAGAGAAAATATATTTTAGACTACAAAATAATTTTTACATTTCTTTGAAAGGCATTCATCTTTGTCAATTTAGGTGTGTCTTTGTGGATTATTAGATTTAACAGAATTTGGAAGAAAGAATAGCCAACTTCGAGAAAGATTGGTGTTTAAATATTTCAAAATTTTTCATCATGGCAAGGTATTCATAACTTGACTAAGCAGGTGGAGGGGGTTTGGATTATACTGAGACCCAGCCAGGGACCATACGCTCCCTGGGGCCAGAGACAGAGCGGTATGCCTGGCTGAAAGCAGCGGCTCAGTCAGGCAGCAATAGCTTGGGTTTTGGATTATGGAATTCAATCACCCTTGAGATTCTCCAGAATCCAATACTAAGATATCCTGACAGGCAGAACCCAGGGATAAGGTATCAGAGTAAATATAATCAAAAGTGAGGTCAATCAGCAAAGTATCTGACTGACAAGAGAAAATTGCCCGTGTTTAGGGCCTATCCCTGTAGATGAGAAAGCTTGCGGTGTGTGTGCTATGCATGTGGGTGTGTGTGGTGTGCATGTGGGTGTGTGTGGTGTGCATGTGGGTGTGTGTGGTATGCATGTGGGTGTGTGTGCTGCACATGTGGGGTGTGTGTGCGGTGCATGTGTACATGTGTGCTATGCACATGATGTGGGTGTGATGTGCACGTGGGTATGTATGTGGTGTACATGTGAGTATGTGGTGGTGTGTATGCTGTGCATGTGGTGTGTGTGCTGCACATGTGGGTGGGTATGGGGTGTACATGTGAGTGGGTGTGCCATGCACATGGTGTGTGTGCGTGATGTGTATGTGGTGTGCGTTTGTGTGCTGCTGTGCATGTGGAGTGCATGTGGGTGTGTGTGCTGTGCATATGTGGGTGTGCTTGCATGTATGTATGTGTATGCACGACCATATTCTAAATAAAATCATCATAAAAACAAACCAAACTAAAAACGAAAACAAAAACCATTGAGTACTTAGCCCAGCAGCCCAATCAACAATCCAAGAATGATTTGATTCAAACCTTACCTAACCAGAGACAGGAGGTTATTAAAACTCTTCTTGCCTGAAGCCCAGGTGGTGTGAGGACTGGGAAGGAACTGATGCTGTAAGAAGAGGGGAGTCCATCGGGCGTGGTGGATCATGCCTGTAATCCCAGCACTTTGGGAGGCCGAGGCGGAGCAGATCATGAGGTCAAGAGATAGAGACCATCCTGGCTAACATGGTGAAACTCTGTGTCTACTAAAAATACAAAAACTAGCTGGGCGTGGTGGTGCACGCCTGTAGTTCCAGCTACTGGAGAGGCTGAGACAGGAGAATAGCGTGAATCTGGGAGGCGGAGGTTGCAGTGAGCCGAGATCACGCCACTGCACTCCAGCCTGGTGACAGACTGAGACTACATGTCAAAAAAAAAAAAGAAGAAGAAGAGTGGAATCAGCTGTGGGAGCAGACGCAGACGTGGAAAGATGGGGGACTGGATTAGCCTTTGGAGGTGTGGCCAGATAAATCCCAGTACTCTGCATACCAATGCACCTCATTGCTTTTCTGATGGTAAAATGTGGGAATGCGATTATCTCCAAGAATCCTCATGTTCTAAACTTTTGATCTCATGATTCTAACGTAAGACATCTCTAGTATTCTGTGGGCATTGGAAAACTTTGATTTGTTACACAAATAATGTTTAGAATCTCCTACAGTAGAAAAGAGAAATAGACATACATTCAAATTTTGAAAACATACTGAAGCACTGTTACAGTGGAATCTGTTGACTTGGCAGAAATAAACAATAATCAACTGAAGGATCGAGAGTAATAACAGACTTAAAGGAATGCTATGCAGATGAAAATACTGTCCTCGCTTTCTGAGGTTATCTAGATCTCAGTTATACTTAACTAATGGAACAAAAAGGAAGAAGTTAATTTCCTTTTTTTTTTTTTTGCCAAATTTCAGTGGATTCACAGCATAAAAAATACTGCAAGATGGTCTTCGATTAAGAAATTTACTACAAACCGCCTGAATAGTTATTTTGTCTATCTTATTTAATAATAAGTTCATGAATTGTTGGAAGCTTTTGAATATTTTTCTCTCAGTTGTGCTGTGGATTATTATGTTGTTTCCAGGCTTGATTTCTTCCTGAGTGGTAGATTTGCCACCTGTCTCACTTGGATAATATTATTAAAATAACTTATGTTTTTAATCTTGATATTAACATGGGCCTAGAGGCTATTTAACAAGCATGCATTGGTAAGCATAATAAGAAATAAAATTTAACAGATGGAAGGCTTTCATGATTTAGATAGCTCTATTGGTTGGATTTTTTCATATGCTCATCCACACATTTTGAGCAGAGTATGAAGACAAATGTTTTCCTTACATTCAGTCCCCTTAACCATAATTGTTTCTTTCTTTCTGTTTTGAAGTTTCAGTTACTGCTCCTAGCAGGATTCTCCATTGCTACTCATCATATTTTGTTAAGACAAACAGGGCTATCATGAAGCAGCAGACACCCCTGTCATATCATGCGTGGAGGAGGTAAAAGTCCTTTCCAGTTCACATCTCTGCCTCTGTGGTATCTTTGCCATAATAGACTTACTCTCTTTTTAAACAGTTCAGTACATGGGATTCTGAGTTAGTGTTTGCTGATATCTCTTCAATTCTGTAAATATGGACAAAGGGAAAACAAAGATCATGAAATGGGACAGTCTCATCAACTAATCTTCCCTTGAGTTTCTGAGTCTTGCAAAGGCAGATAATTCTTTTAAAAAGAACAATTTGAATCACTTTTCAAACCGTTTCTGGCTCATTGTCTTTGCTTCCTTATCTGTTTAAATATGTGCTTCCTAACTACAACAGGTCTTTAATATTAATTTATATAAGCAAAGGAGATAGAAGGATCAAGGATGCTATTAAATTTGATGCTGTGCTAACTGACGGAGAGTTTGCTCAATTATTATTCTCTACAACAGCACTGATCAAAGAGTGTTATGGAAACCACAGGATGCTCTTAGAATTACTGTACTTGGTGGTCAAGTTGATTTTGGAACTACTTCCAACTACAGTCCTTTTTAGAGAATCACAACACATCTGGGCATGTCTAAGGTTCTATAAAGTCCCACGCTACAAGAAATCTGCTTCATCCCCATGTTTTCAATATATTGACCCTCTCTTTGTATAACCTCTAATGATATTTGATCCTATCTTTATTGAACAACTATTAATATCCTGAACAATTATTCTATCATGAAATACACTTTGAAAATATTGTCTTGTGAATAGCCAGTATATTTCTGTCTCAAAGGTGAAGTTTGGTTGCGAAAAACCTAATTAAAAGCTTAAATCTTTCCTAGGGTTGGGTGATGGAAAAAGAGTTTAAAGCACAATTTTGATGTTCGTTATGTTTCTTGTTTCCTGGGTTTTGTTTCTTGCTTTAGCTTGTTTTAAATTAGAGGCATAAGAGAAGACAGTAAGGAAATATTGATGCTACCTAAAGCTTTGGCCACAGATAGCCAGGCCATGGCAGGTGCAGGAATGGTAACAAATGCTATTTCAGCAGATGATGACTTTACCCAGGAGGGAAACAGCAAGTCAGGCGAGGGGCAGTATCCACTTGCTTAGTGACCCCAGACATGATAGGGAAGAACCTAAGAGTGGGAAAAATATTATCTTTGCCCAGGTTGGGATGGCTTACACAATAGGAACTTCCACAAACATCTCTGTGCTCTTGAGACAGTATTGGCAAATAATCCTGTTTTCCAAGGGATCCCATCTGTAGAACCGATGTGAAAGTTTCCATCTGAAGTTATGCTATGTGAGGCTCTGTAACCACCTCTCTTGTTCCTCCCTTTGGAAGAAGGGTTTATTAAATTCAGAGAATACCAATGGTTTGAGCTCTGCTCCTGGGTAGGTTTTTATGTCAAAGGTCACTCCCACAGCAGAGTGGCCTCCCTCTTTGATTTTCTCTAGTAGGCACCCAGGTATTGCATCTCTTCTACCCAGTGAGCACCTGGGGTAGACCTTGTCCTTCAGTGTGGGTTGTGGAAGTGGCAGTAGGGGGAGGTCAGTTGTTGTCCTGCTGTTTTGTCTATTACTGAAAGAGTCAGCTATTTCACAGGGCATAAAATGCATTGAGAAGTAGAAAGTCCTCATACAGTGTGCAGTCACCTGCTCCTTAAATAGAAATGTTGATGGAATGTGAGAACTCAAGATATCCACAATACAGGCTACACAATAAGATATTGCCTTTTTATTGCTAGCGTAAAAAACCCAACTCAGTATGCCAAACCTGTCTCATGAGCTTTGTTTTATTCAGTGACTAAAGTTATCACTGAAGTTCCCATTTCCAAATTATACAAATCAAATACATAGCTCATCCTAAAATGCACACCATTTTACTGCATGATGCTCTGCCTCCTTCAGTCATGTTATTTGCTGATTACTGCACAAAAGTACAAAGAAAAACGTCTGCTTCTGAGCTCACAGCCATTTCTCCCAATTCTGAAAATATGCTAATGTCAACAGCAAACTTCAAACTCAAAAGGGATCATTTCTAATTGTTTTAAGACATGGCAGCGTTTGTAAACAAGAGAAGCCAGATAAATATGGCCAAATACTTTTTCATGTTGAGAACATATATTTGTAGAAAGAAACATTTTGGAGACAATGTTCAAATCATTAATTTATGCACTCCACAAATATTTATTGAACACCTACTGATGTCAGGCACTGTTATGTATTGAAATTGCAGTGGTGAGTAAGGCAGACGAGACTACTGTCCAAAATTATTACACTGTGGATAGATCAAAAATAAATCATAAGTGAATAAATGTATACTGTTTCAGAAGTGTGTAGGAAATGACTGGGATATTTAGTGTAGAAGTGTTGTATGTGCGGTGGAGGAGGCATAGGGAAAGAAACAGAAAGAGAATGAAAGAAATCAGACATGAATATACATACCTGATTCTGTGGCTATAAAAGACCGTAATAGGCAAAGCTAATAGTGATGTGGGAAGTCTGACTAGTGTTAATCCTTGGAAACAATGGATGTGGCAATGACTGGGAGGGGTTTGAGAGATGTGACATTCAATTTATTAGTATGACTGTTGGTCACATGGGTGATTGATTTGTGATAATTCATCAAGCTGGATGATTACAATTTGCATAATTTTGTGTATGCATGTACTTTTTCAATAAAAACTTTAGTTAAAACAAAATGAGAGTCCGGGCGTGGTGGCTCACATCTGTAGTCCCAGCACTTTGGGAGGCCAAGGCGAGTAGATCACCTGAGGTCAGGAGTTAAAGACCAGCCTGGCCAACATGGTGAAACACTGTCTCTACTAAAAATACAAAAAACTAGCCAGGTGTGGTGGTGCATGTCTGTAATCCTAGCTACTCTGGAGCTGAGGCAGGAGAATTGCTTGAACCTGGGAGGCGGAGGTTGCAGTGAGCCGAGACTGGGCCACTGCACTCTAGCCTGGGCGACAGAGTGAGACTCTGCCTCAAAAAAAAAAAAAAAAAGAAAGAAAGAAGGAAATAAAAACTCCTACAGTCTGCTTGTCTGGTAGCTGCAGCACAAAGACCTGGATGAGATGTCTTTTGGTATTGGTTTATGTATTTTGATTGAAGCAAAACAAATAAATAAAAAAAAATACCTCCAGAAAAATTGCATTCTATGTGGCTTTTAAGCATAAAAAGAAATTTGTTGAAAGTATCATGAGTATAAATCTCAGTTCACAAACATATATATATATATATATGTGCCAGAAATATTATTTCCCTTTCTAAAACTCATTTCTTTTCTATTTCAACCCCCATCCCACAGCAGTTATCCCTTAGCTGTACCGCCTTTCACTCAGACTTACATATGGATCTAAGGGAAGAGGACCTCAGTGGCCTGCAGTGTGGCTCTGTCCTCAGGGCCCTCTGCTCACACCAACATCTGTGGAGAGGTCCAGGCCAGTGGTTGTTCTGTTGTCTCTGTAGACTTTTCAGACCCAGGAGCTGTCGCCTCTTCAGTATCATTCCTTGCTCGGCTGCACACCAGTGCATTGTTTCTCCTCCTATGGTGTACCAAGGTACCAGGATCTCAGTGAGACTCTAATGTTTTTCTGTCTAGTCACCTGCACAGTCATTCTTCTGGAGTCCTATGACTCTTCCAAGGAAAGAGAAAACCATTTCTCTGTTTTCAGATCCTACAAACTAAATTGGGAGTTTCATCACCGCAATCTAGGATCAATTTTGGGTGGTACAGGAGTGGTGGTAAATGTGTGTGTGTGTGTGTACACAAGTGCATGTATATCTGTGTGAACATGTGCATGGATTTGTGTGTGCATGTGCATGCATGTATGTGTGTGTGAGAATGTGTGTACATGGTGGCAAAAACCATCAGCATCTGAGCCCTCATTGATTTCCCTGGGATTCTCCTCTACCCAGACAGATACTCTTTATCAACCTGAGAAAAGATTGGACTGCCAAATTTATTTTATGTGTGTGGAATTATTTCTATTCTCACCTCAGAACCTAAAATTTTGAAACTCTGAAGGTAGGAAGAGACCCACTGACCCAGTGTCAGTAGTGGTGGGTCAGTGGTCAAAGGTGAACAATATCAAAGGAAAAAGGGGAGTAGGGGATGAGAGAACAGCTTGTTTAGTTCACAATTACTCTCCTCATAAGCACGCTGTTAGTCTCCCGTGAAATCTAAAGGGCCTGGGCCATGCTAGGAACTTCAGGAGCTGGAGGACAGGGGCCTTCCTACCACAGCTCCAGCTCTGTCTTGTAGGGTGTTCTGCTGCAGCAACTTCTAGTTTTGTGTCTCTCCGTTCCCAATTTTCAAGGCAAGAGGAAACGACTGCACCAGCTGCAGTCCAGTGTCCTCCCTGGGACCAGTTCATTCTGACCAGCGGGCTGGGCCACACAGACTAGACACATGTGTATGGAATGTTCCCAGGGAAGGGTGACTGGCAGGAGTGGGGCAGCCCCCAGGTAACATCCATTCATGCCTCAGCTCTGCTTCTTGCCCTGCACGCTTCTTCTCCATCACCCTCTTGCCTTCCATTGGGCACAGGACACAGTGCCCTTGGAGAACATGCACAGAGGCTTTCATTGTCCTAGCTACCAGATCTGTTACCTAAGGTCAGAAACCAAGAAAAAAATGGATACTTTTCCCTTTCTTGGATAACCTATTATTATGGAGTTTCTCTTAGTGAAGGAATGAGGTGAAATGCTCCAGGTACAAACACTCACTGTCAGCAAAAATAATTATGATGAAAATAATTTTACCTCGTATACTGATTTATAGCTGACCAAGTGCACTTCGGTTCCCATCACCTCAAGCCTCAGGAAAGGTTGGTGGATAGGTTTCCTAACAAACACCAATTCCTTTTCCTCCTTACTCTCAGCGTTCCCACTCTATTCAGGTCTGCCGCCGCAGTGGGCCAGGCCCCAGGGAATGAATCCTGCTCCTCTTAACCAACCGTGCAGGTGGCTTCCCCTCACTGTGGATTGACTTGGGGGTGTGGGTGAAGGCATCAATTCCAGCCAGTGAATTGTAGCGAAATTTCTGGGATATATTTTCTTTCCTAATAATGAGAGACCAACAAGGAGAGGCTTCCCATTGCCTCCCCATTTTTTGCTTTGGATTATCATTGTGTGTGCATTGAACTTTTGGAGCTGGTGCAGCCACCCTGTGACTGCTGTGGAGGCACTTCTAACACCCTGATCCTTAATGTGACAGAGTCAAAGCGGGGAGGTCCCTGTGTTTTTACGTTATCAACAGTTTATGCAGCTCACCAATTCTAGGAGTACCTACTTCTTTACTTTGGGTTAAATGAGACAGTAAATTATTCTACGACATACGCTATCTTTAGTCTATTATTGACTATTAAAGGCATTCTCCCTAATACCTTCTAAGATACCGCAGCTCAGAGACTTCAAGTAACCTTCCCATGATTACACAGCTGCTAAATGAGATTTTTCTGAACTCAATCCCAGATTTTTGGATGTCGCGTTTCTTTTCAGAGTCCAGTGACCATTTCATAAACTCATGACAGCTTTCCAGCTTGCTTAATATTTGATCCTAGGTAGGTTCCTCATTTGTTTTCAAATGCCACCCCTAGCCCTGTGCTACAATGACCTGCACAAAGCAGGTGCTCAGAGACGTGGAGCTTATTTAAATGTGTGTGGCCCTTGATCCTCAAACCCTCCCTCCACAACCGCCAACACACTCACACCCTCAGGCAGTAATCATCACCAACCAACAGTGGCACTCTGTCTCTCTCTTTCTGAACCCTGGTGCAGCTTTAGAATTCCTGGCAGTTCAGGCAAGCACTGCTTGCCCATATTTCCACCTCAGGGCAAATCTCCGGCTCACATGCACGCTGAATCTGAAGGAGCTTTGCAAACAAGTGAAGCAGCCAAAGCGAGGGGGCAGGTTTTCCTGAGTTTTGCTCCTGGGTCTGCTACTCCAGACATGGATTTTTTAGGCAGTCGATATGTTTCCTTATTCATCACATGTGGCATTGATTAAGATTCCTCCCAGATGGATCAGTAGTTCTGTAAGTTTAGATATGATTTTCATTAAGTATTCATGTAAAAAGCAATAATTAAATGCCTACTGTGTGACCAGCATTGTTCATATGCTGGAGCTATAGAACAACGCAAGGCAAGAAAATTCTCAGGAGAAAAACAATTTGATAGAAGAACCAACAAGAGAATGTAAGACCAATAAGAGAATATAAGACCAAGGTATAGAATGTTACAATAGAGCCAGATCCAGACAGTAGGCAAGAGCAGGTGCAAAATGGTGGGGAGGGCTGCTTGTATCACATGAATGAACGCCGCCTGGACGGCTTCTGTGTTTCCTCCTCCCTGGCTTCTGCACAAGTAGCAGTTTTACCTCTGCTGAAGCAAAGTGTTGGCAATTCCAGGTCCTAAATTTAACTATTATGAGGTCACAGAAAAATAGCAATCACTTAACAAAAAATCTGGAGCCAGTATTTTACATGGAGTAAGATATCTGCTTTGGAAATTTCCAAATATAGATCACCAAAGTTGTCAATTCTACTAAATCAAGGGAAAGCCTATGAAACTTAAAATTCTAGGCTACAGTACACATTTAGAATTGAGAGAATATCCTTATATATATTTAGAATAATTCCTCAGTAAGACAACTTCAATGAGAACGTTTCTAGAGGGTGGAATTAAGACCAAGTCACTGTTTCTCTTCATTGTAATGGTTCATTAGACTTGAGGACTTTGTTGCTACAGGAGTGGCTCCAGGCTACCATTAATAAGGACTATTTGGAGACATTTATACACTCAAATCCCACTTGATGCAGGTGCTGTATTTATTGAAGCCTCTTATTTTATAGCTCATTTTAAATGAAGGAGAACACTTCATATAAAGGTTAAGTGTGATAGCAGGAGGAACCAGGTCTCAGAAAGCATCCAAAGGTGGCCTCTTGGCTCGAAGGGCAGTAGACACTGGGCTTCCTAGGGCTGCCACTGGAATAACCACCTTTTCTTCCATCTGAGGCTTTGCAACCTGCTACTCAGATAATCACAGCTGCTTTTATTGAATGGCATTGGAGGAGGCTTTCAAAAGGAATGTTGAATTAGAAAAAGGCAAAGAAATGACTTCATAATGGATTAAATACTGGTGTTGGGAGTAAATGTGTGCTATTTTTACCAATGCTGTCTTCATTTGCCATTGCCTCTATCCTTACCATAGTCAATATTGCATTGCATGTTTCTTAATGAGGGGTTTGCTTTAAAGCTAAAGTGCTTTGAACTCAGTATGCTTCCATTCAGCTCGGCTGGAGCCCCCTGCACCATCATCTGCTTATCACTGCCATAGCTCAGAGGACAGAACATTAGGGCAAATTAGGGCACACTGTTTGCTGAAAGCTCAAACCTCTGGTAAAGAATGTGTTTTATTCACTGTATGCATCATGCTGTGTTGCTGGACTAGTGTAATTGCACATCTATATGCCTTCACTTTTTTCTGTCAGGAGATACAGCGGATAGCTGTACAAAACAGTCCTAGAATCAATATGCATGAAATAAAAAGAGCGAGCAAGATGAATCTGCCTAGAGGCTAGAACAGAATAGAAATGCTCTGTGAAGGTGTTTGCTTCTGCATCAGTCTTTCATTTGCTCAGTAGTTCCTAAACTCCTGGCATTTTTATGCTGTGGTAACTTCAGTCCTTTGTGCCCTTCAGGGTCTCCTGAAAGAACAACCAACAAAGAAGGGATTTGAGAAAAATAAAAACAAAGGAATGGAAAGAATTGAAAAGAATCTCAGGAAATATAGCAAGAGAAAACCCAGGAACAAAAGGACTCTTGTAAGGATGGAAAGTGTCATTTTACAGTAGCAGAAGCTTTGCCTTCTTTCTGCATTATCATAAAGTGAGAGCTCTTGGCTCCCTGGATGTGTAGCTACACAATACACACATATACGCAACATACGCACAACACGTACATTTACAAATTGAAAAAAAAGTCAAATTAAACCAATTTGCTGTTCTGCAACATCCCTAGATTTGAAATGAAGGCACTTGCATAATCTAGAAACTCAGTGATGTTGATTAGCATAATCAAGCTGTCCCTGTGCACACAGAACCTAAAAACGATAATAAAATCAGCATCGATTTCTTAATTGGAGAATATAGTTCGGGGGGGGGGCAAAAGTGGACATCTTTTCTGTAATGGAATGTGTGGGGCAGAAGAAAAGAACTGTTAATTGTAATAGTTTCTCTAGATCTTGAATGTCATGAATGGGAAGTTCAACTCAAGTATGGGCCTGTTGCATATAGGAGCCACATATTTAGTTCTCTCTATTTCCACGTGTTCCAAGACAGAGATTTGCACATTTTAGACTTTTGATTAATGTTTGTTGAGTAAGTCCCCATCCCTCGTTCAAGTGGAGCTGAACTTCTTCAAGGCAAGCCAGTGTGCTGTGGGCCTTAAAGTCAAGGAACCCTCAGTTCCCGATCCTTGATTTCTTGGCAGGGTTCCACAGAATAGGATAACCGGATTGTTAAGAATATGAGCTCCAGAAAGGGAATGCCTATTTAATAATCCCAGGTCCTGCAAGTGTAAACTCTATGAACCTGGGAAATGTGTATAATCAATTTAATCTCTATTTACTTCATTTGGAAAATATAGACAGTAGTATCAACTTCATGGAGAGAATTAGATGATTTAATATATGTAAAGAGAACATTCCCTGAAACAAACTAAGAACTCAAAATGTTAGCTATATTATGATCGCTGATCAATCTCTCAATTTTCTTCCCTCGATTCTTATGACACCTACCTCGCTTATGACTGGGATCTGTCGGAGGCTTTCTTGCCTCGTCCTTCCACATTCTCTTTGGATAAACTCAAAACTTTATGGCTTCAATTCCATCTATATGCTAAAAATGCCCAAATCGATAGCACAGAGGCTCTGTCTCCCTCAGTGGAGAGGCAGAGAACTAGAAAACCAGTTTCCTCTCCCATAGAACATTTAACTAGTTGCCTAAGTTTGTATGTATATATTAAATGGTAATGCATTTTATTTTATATGCAAATAGCACGTGTACATACTTGAAAAAGAAAAAAAAAAGTGATGTTTATAATAATAAGAAATAAAAACCCAGAAATCTCTTTTTTCCCCCAGAAGTACCCTAACCCTTCTCCCAGAGACTGCCACTTTTACAATTTAGGCTTTTCCATTCATGAATTCCTCAATTTTAGTCATTGTAGATTGACTTTCTGTTCTGATAAATGAAGACTTTACTATAAAGGGCATTCACCTTCATCTCACCTGCTCCTAATAGAGTTATGCAACTATCATTAATTAATTGGGTTGACATTATTTCAACTGTATAGATATTATATACATCAAGTGGTATTATAGAATAGCATTCCCTCACAGTTTTGGTTTGGTTTTGTTTATAGCAGTTTTGGTTATTTCCTGGCATTTCTAATTGCACTATTGTCTGCCCTTAGAGCCTGTATGAGTTATTCAGAGTTTCAGGGATAGTGCAAAATTTCATGTGACATTTTTCCTGGATATCACCCTCCTAGAACACTTATCCTGCAGCATTATCCTGGACAGGCTGCTCCGTGAGGCCTGCTGCAGAGCTGTCATTCTGGCATTTATGTTTGTTTATTCAAGAAAAGCCCACGACTTCCTTTCTCTCCCATCCTCCTGCCTTTCGTTATAATGTGCCCCTTCATTTTGTTGGAACGAGGACATCTGGTAACCTCCTCAGGAAGACTGATGGAATGTGCATTTTCCACTTCTCCATATGTTTGAAAATGTTTCTATTCTAATCTAATAATTAATTGAAACCATCATTCTGAGCAAACTATCACAAGGACAGAAAACCAGACACTGCATGTTCTCACTCATAGGTGGGAATTGAACAATGAGAACACTTGGACACAAGATGGGGAACATCACACACTGGGGCCTGCCGTGGGGTGGGGGGATGGGGGAGGGATAGCATTAGGAGATATACCTAATGTAAATGACGAGTTAATGGGTGCAGCACACCAACATGGCGCATGTATACATATGTAACAAACCTGCACGTTGTGCCCTTGTACCCTAGAACTTAAAGTATAATAATAAATGAATAAATAAATTAATTAATTAAAAAAAAAAAGAGAAAGTTTCCTGGGTTATAGAATTCCAAACTGAAAAAGTATTTATACTTGGAGCTTTGAAAATGTTCACATATTTTTTTCTAACATCCTGTATTGAGGTTGAGACATCTAATGTCAATCTAATGCTATTTTCCGTTGTTAAGGACCTAGTAATTTCCTCCTTTGAAAACTTTTAGTATACTCTATTTATTCTTGGTGCTCTTAAATTTCACAATAATGTATCTAGACATGGTCTTTTCCAACCATCAAAACCGTCCAGAGATGTATAACTTTTGACTCTGAGAAGTTCTCTTGTATTATTTCTTTAATATCTTCTCCTTCACCAATTTGACTGTTCTCTTACTCTAAAACTCTTGGTTGAGCTCCTTTGATAGATGGCTGAGTGTTATCTTTTCTTATATACACTGCAATCTTATGACTTTTGGCATTATTTTCTCTGAGTTTTGACTTTATTTTTCCAATGCTTCTATTGACTTTCAAAATAATTTTTAATTGCATTTGTCATTTTTCTGTTTTCCTTGAGTTCTTTCTTATGCATATAATTTAGCATTTTTCCTAGCATGTTGTTCTTAAATTTTGGATACAATATCTTGTAACTGAGGATGCTGCATATTTTTCTTTGTATACCCTGAATTAGCACTACTTTCTTGGGCAAGAGTCCCCAGACCCTGGGTCACAGACGGGTATCCAACCATGGCCTGTTATGAACCAGGCCGCACAGCAGGCAGTGAGGGCACGTGAGTGAGTGAAGCCTCATCTGTATTTACAGCTGTTCCCCATTGCTCGCATTACCGCCTGAGCTCCACCTCCTGTCAGATCAGCGGGTGGTAGATTCTCCTGGGAGCTAGAACTTATTGTGGCTGCGCCTGTGAGGGATCCAAGTTGCATGCTTTAATGAGAATCTAATGCCTGATTCACTGTCTCTCATCACCCCCAAATGGGACTGTCTGGTTGCAGGAAAACAAGCTCGGGCTCCCACTGATTCCACATTATGGTGAATTGTATAGTTATTTCATTACATATTACAATGTAATAATAATAATAGAAATAAAATGCTCAATAAATGTAACGGGCTTGAATCATCCTGAAACCATCCCCCCACCCTGGTCTGTGGAAAAATTGTCTTCCAAGAAACCAGTCCCTGGTACCAAAAAGGTTGGGGACTGCTGTTCTTGGGATATCTTGTTGAGTATTTAACTTTATTTTTCTCTTTCTTGTTCCAAGATTTATGTAAATGTCTGGCGATCCTTGGTCCCTATTTATATGTTAAAGGAAGTAATAATGCCCAATGCCAAGGTCTTCATTTCTAATACCATTCTTCAATAAGAGGATCCAGGGTTCCTTACAAAAATAGTCTATCCTAGGGTTGGAACAGGGAATATGCAAGACAAGTAGCTTATAGTGCCAGAAAGTGAGAAAGCTAAAAAAAAAAATTACACCAATGGGGGTGTATCAAAGGAAAGTAAGAGATAGCAGAACAAGCTTCCAGTGGCCAACACTGAAACATTTTGAGCAACAAAATAAATATTTGGGTTGGATTATCAACCAAAGTGTAAAATAAATATCCACAAGTCATATAAATATAAATATAAATAATTAAATAAATAACTGGGGAAAGAGACACCTCTCCCATGTAGGAGAATTCCCAAAAATTTATGTAGTTACTCTGACCTCAGCTTTCCACTCCTGAAGTGTGGCCGGTGCACAGTAACTTTTTCCAATAAGTACAGCACAAAAAAGGCGAAAGAGGAGTAACTTTACAGCCAAGAAACCTAAAACACAATATTTCAGCCAGGTGATCAAGGTTAACATTATCTGCGGCAAGTCATGTTGACACCATGTATTCTTGATATGACACGTTAAAAATAGCACTTCATTTCTGTGTTTTTCCTCCAAAAATACCATAGTCCTGGTCTAATCATAAGAATAGCATCTGACAAATCCCAATTGAGGGATATTCTACAAAATGCCTGATGTTAGAGAATGTCAAGCTCATCAAAAATAAGGAAAATCTAAGAAACAGTCACAGGCAAGAGAAGCCTAAAGAAACACGGTGACTAAATGAAATGTGGTGGATCTTGCATAGGATCCTGGAAGAGAAAAACTTCAGTTAATCATCATGTGTCAAAATCAGTTTATTAGTTATAACAAGTGTACCATACTAATATAAGATGTTAATAATCAGGGAATCTGGACTTCCTTTGCAATTTTTTTATTCTAACACCTTCACTCTGAAATAAGCAGCTTATTTTTGTGTGTGAGAGATAGTAGAATATAGTATAGGAGATCTGTATATATGAAGACAGTACATGGGGTAATCTTTACTTCAGGAAGAGTGAACAAAGGGATCTTCAGGGAGAGTGAGCAGTATCACTCATTTAAAGCTTTTTGAATGCCTTGAGACTCCCACTTTTTGATTGGAGAAAAGTGTTCAGCTTCCTTGAGCTAATTTAAAGACAAATGGTAGAGGGATAGGCTTTCAGATATTATCCTTGTTTTGAACATTTTACAACATGTCCTGTTTTCTTTGGCCTTTCTAAATTTAGAGCTTCTCTGAGATTCTGGAAGGAGGCCCAAGTCACATGTGCACAGTTTTCCCAATGGCACTTCCCTTTACCCATGTAGCTTCTCTACCACTTCTGCATCAGTTCTTCATCTCCTATAGTATTTTTTAAACATTTCTTGTCTCCTAATGACCCTCCATCCTTTGTGCTCTCTCTCTCTCTCTGTGTGTATGTGTGTGTCCTTTGTCACCATTTATTAGTGTTTTAGGGGAAGAAGAGATACCCTTAATTAATGTTCAATATGGCACCTTAATTCTGCTTGACCTATAAATCTGGAATTATTTTTCTTAAATTGATATTCTATTTTTTCAATGATTTTTTTCTTATTGTTGGTGCAGTTTTAGAATTGCTTTAGAAAGTCATCACAGTAAAGAAAGGAGAATTAAATCAGGAATATATGGCTCTTTCCTCTGTTGTGAGTGAAGACGAGGTGGCTGTTAAACAGGTTGAGAGTTGTGGTACTTAACTCAATCTCACCCTACTCATTCTGCCTATAAAGATAGGACACGATCAGTTATGAGTTCTGGATGCCACACATGTGAGTATCTTTCAATCCATAGGCCCAGCCTCTTGCCACTTACATCCTAAGTCTAACCTCTTCTTCAGGGCATAAATCCACCAAACATTTGCTTACCAGGGCTGTTTTATTATTTTTTGTAAACTCAGGAAATGAGAAGAGAGGTTGATACATTTTCCAGTAAGATTGCTAGGCTTTTCTTCTACCAGCATCACCCAGTAAAATTACTCTTCTGAAATGCACACTCTGAGCTAGGTTTTTTCTACACTTCATCTTTGGATCACTGGAGAGATGAGTCTCAGCACACATGGTGATTCTCGGTGTGGAGACAAGGAAAAGTCTTCACTCCACATCCAGTGGATTTCAAAGCCATCTATCTGATCAATATTCACTTAAGCACATCTTCCTTTTACTGAAATGTTTATAATTTTCCTTGATGGTACACCTCAGCCTTCCTGCTTCCAGAAAGAATCACTATCCTTTTGTGAGCCATGGTTACTGGTGGCGGTACCCCTCAGGTGACATATCATGGTCAGTAAATACAATCAAGTGGCTCTATAGTGAGAATTCCTGTGATCATATGCAAGGAATTTAATACTCTAAGTGGTATATGAAAACAATTGTATTTTTTTCATTAGTAAAATGGGAATAATGTGTAACACACAGATTTGCTATGTTTGGTGATACATACAGAGTGCCTGGTATGTAAGCAATCAATACATATTAGCTACTATAATTTTGGTAGAAAAAAGATTACAATCCACAAATATAAGCAGAGCATGGGGATATATTAAGAGAGTTCAGTTCTACAAATATTTATCAAGTAACTGCTGTGTACTGGGAAAACAAGGTGAATTAGATATCATTCACCTCAAAGTTTTGAAGTCATTCGGAAAGATCTTTGTATAAGAGGATAGTCATAATACATTGTTGCATGATGCATTGGGTTGCTAGAGGTATGCATAGGTTGCTACAGTAGCAAGGAGAAGAGGCAAATAATTCGGCTATGGTAGGAGTGTGAGCTTAGGAAAGATTTTTAGGTGGAGATAGTGTTCATGTGTGGTGTTACAAACAGGTAAAGATGGGTGAATATTAAGGGGAGAGAGTATCCACGTAGCAGTGAAATGAGACACAATAGGTATGATCCTCTAATTTTATTTTTTAAATTTAATTATTATCTTTTGTAATTCAGGATCCAGCATTTGTGAAAATCACAGAAGATCATATGAGAAGGCACCATTTTAATGAAAGAACAAGAAACCTGAAATTCAATAACAAAGCCTGAAGGCTAGAAAAGGTTATGAAATAGCCCATGATAAGCACAGGTGGAAAATTGACACAAAGAGTTTTCTGCTATGCCAAATAAATTTTGTTGTCTTTGTGTGTGTGTATGCTGCGTATCTTAAAACCATAACATTTTCACTGACATTGAATCATCCTCCTCAGTAACTGAGGGAAACTTCCTTGGGAACCCACCTTAAATTTTACCATCTTTGGCAGCTTTTGAAATGACTCTATCTTCAAATTCTTGAATTTCCACATTCTCTTCTCTGACTTTACCTTTGATTATTTTGCTCTCAGTAAATCTGCATCTCAGTCTTCCTCTTCTCAGTTCTATCCTAGTGTACCAGCCCATTAACCCCTGTTTGATTTTATTTGGCTCTCTTCCTCCATGGGGCTACACGTAAGCCTCATGCTCATTGTAGTCCCTGTCTCTCTTCAACACTGGTATCTTACCACCTCTCCATAACTTCCCACTATTTCTTTCTTGCCAATCATCAACCCTGTGTAATATCTACTGTCTTATTTTCTTTGACGCTAGAAATCAAGGCCCTGATGGTCAAAGGCATTAAACAATCTATGGGTTTGCCATAAGTGCATTATGTGGTTTATTATTTTGCAGATATTTAATGTGGTACATGATAAAATGTTACTTTTTCTACTAATCTTATTTATGTAGCCGAAAATCTAGAAAAATGTTTTTCTTATTACTAGCTGAAAATATAGTAAAGTGTTTCTTAGTGGAACTTGACAAGATAATTTTACAACTGTTTGCTCGCTTTAAGTCCATGTTAAATCTTTGTTTCTAAGTTGTGGAAAGCCTTCATCCATCCTATCGGATTCTTCCATATTTATTAACAACACTTGTCCTTTGCTATTTCCCACATTCATATATAAGTATGTTCAAATTCTTCTACTTTAAAAACACAAACACACTTTTCTATATTCCCTAATCATAATCAAGCCATACCAGGTTATTTGCAATCTTCAGTCCTTTGCCTGTGGATCTGTTTTTGCTTGGAATACAGTCCTCTTCCTCATCTCAATATTATTTCATCAGTCTGCAATATGTGACCTTGAAATGCATCTCCTATGTGAACACTATTTTTCCCCTTCGCTCCAGTCTCATTTGTACTCTTCCACTGTGTTGTTCCCTAGCCTCCTGCGATTACCCCCATCATAGTGATTATCATCTTTTCTAAGTATTTACTTTTATGTACCCTCCAGGGTCTCTGAGCTACTCCTTCACTAAAGACAGTCCTTGCCATCCATCATTATAGCCCCAGGAAATAGAATAGCCTGAGTCATATCATGGACTCAGCAGAGTGAAGAAGTAACTGAATGCATAAATTAATGAAACATGGCTCCATAAATGGGCCCCTTTTCCCTATGTAAAGATCTGTGTTCTCTATTGATAAGCCACAGATGATAACACCAAAAGAAGCAGTCCTTCAGTAAAGGCTGTGGAGTGAACATTTCCCCAGAAGAGCCCTTGTTCATGGCTGATGTGGTCAATATCACATAGCTGTCTTATTCTCATCCCTGGTCCTTTACACATCATCTATAGCTGATGTGGAAACTCAGAGCTTCTGGATGGAGAAAGATTATAATCATGATTCAGTGACCTAAGAAAAGGCCTCCTTTTATTAATCTATATTTTATAGAGTTTATATATAAAAATATAAATGTATTTTTATATATATGTATTTCATATATTGGAGGAGCACAAAGTCTATGGTTATTGTACAGCAAAATATCTTTAGCTTTGCCTTTTAACCAAATTTGGAGAATAAATAAAAAGCTTTAATAATTAATTTTCAGATGATATCCAAGCTGGGAGGCATTAGCATTTTATTTGTGACCTCAATGGCAAAGTAGATTTTGGTGAGGTTATATATATATTCTAGGAAAAATGAAATGATGTTTAACTTAAAATATAAATATTAGAACATCTTAAGAATTGAAATATCAAACAGACATTCACTGGAAGAAATAATCTTAAAAAGCAGTTATATTACTTAAAAAACAAAACTTGACCTCTCCTACAAATTGGAGAGTAAACTTACAACATTTAGGGTAATGCAAATCTCATGTAGTTTCAGTTTGCACAGGCCTAGGCTCTGTTTCATGGATTAGTGAACTCACAAAGCATTGGTAAGACCATGGTAAAAATTCTGAATGAGAAGACACAAGAGGTCCAGGGATCCACAACAAAAGAGAGAGAATATGAAACATAAATGAAATTTTAAAACAACAACAACAATGTAATTGTATATTGACCAGTAAAATACATATCCAAGGCATATGTATTACTTTTTTTTTTTTTTTTGATGGAGTCTCGCTCTGTCACCCAGGCTGGAGTGCAGTGGCAAGATCTCGGCTCACTGCAAGCTCCACCTCCGAGGTTCGCACCATTCTCCTGCCTCAGCCTCCCAAGTAGCTGGGACTACAGGTGCCCACCACCATGCCTGGCTAATTTTTTGTATTTTTTTAGTAGAGACGGGGTTTCACTGTTTTAGCCAGGATGGTCTTGATCTCCTGACCTCGTGACCCACCTGCCTCGGCCTCCCAAAGTGCTGGGATTACAGGCGTGAGCCACCACACCTGGCCTGCATTACTTTTTAAAGTATTTCATGCCAGAGAAATGCTTACAAAGGTGAATCAATAATTTTAACCATGAAAAATTAATGATACATATTTCTGCTTGACATAAGCTGCTCAGGCTTTCTCAACATTAAGGAATTAGTAATCTGTATGAAGAATGGTATCTTTACAACCACCTTTTCTAATATTTAATATGAATATTATTCATATTATGAATGTTATTCATATTTGGTATTATATGGTAGTATGCAGGTAGAAAAGCAAGTAATAAATAAAGAATTCATTTTGAGTCTGACGTAGAAGCTTGGAAATCATCATTCCTGTCCTCACAACAGAAAAAGCTGAGCAAACTACAAATTATCAACTTTTCTTAGGTCCATCATAGAATTGAGGTCACAAGAGAGACTATTGCCCCCACGATTGGAGCAACAGGTGATTACAGAGAACCTCAGCTCACTGGAGCAGAAGCCAGATGCTGGAGACAGTACAAAGGAAGGAAAATTTAAAGTATAATTAATGAATTGCTAAAGGCAATTCAGGTGGACAAGCCTGAGGGTTCAAACCTCCAGAGGTGCCAGTCTTAAGGAGATTCCTTAAACTCTCTTTCCTGAGTTTTATCTCCAAGAGCCCTACCAGATTCTCACAGTGCAGACTGGAGAAAAATACCTTTGTGAAGATAAGAGTGGGATTGGGGATAGCCATTTTTAAATATGCCAAGAGCATTCAGTTCTTACCATGGCCTGCTATCAAAAGAAACTATTTCACCAAAGCCTAATAGACTGGGGTTTTACCAGAGCCTAACTAACCTAGGAAGAAAGAAATACTCAACTCCAGCTCACTCTAGATTCTGGTGTGGGAAAGCAAAATGTCTACCAGGTTCTCAGGGTGAAGACAAGAGAAAATGCCTTTATGCTTTTGGTAAGGGGAAGGAAAAACTAACCATTTAAAAATATGCCCCAAGTATTCTGCTCTCCTTTGCAAAAGCATACTTTCAAGACGAGTTCTTTATCTACAGTTTAACTGACTTGGATTTTACCAGTGCCTAACCAACCTGGAAGAGGGGATTACCCAATTCCAGACCCGTCTAGCCTTTCTATTTCATCTAGGGTGGGGAAGGGACTGAGAAGCACTTGGGAAGGTCACAGCCCAAGGACAAAGACTCAGTAAAAGCCTGAGAGCAAATTACAGGCCCACAGAATGCTATGCCTTCCTCTCACAGCTTATTACTACCTCAACAAGGCCTCTGTGACTGGGCATTACATTGCACAAAACTGCACATCTCAGACCTTATTTAAGATGAAGTGATACAGGAGTTAAAATGAAATTATTTGGGCAGTTAATGAGGGTAAGAGAGTCATTGGTAAGGCTTCCCTTTTAATGAAGAGCAGCCCCCAAATTGCAGCATATAAATTTGAGCTGCAGACATAGGTAAGCAAGCTGGAAGCTTGCACTGGTGAATGCCAGCAGGTGTGCCATTAGGAAAAGGCTACCTGGGGGCCAGCTGTGTTCAACATAGAGGCTTTCTCTTCCGTTTTCTATGTTGCCACATGTACAGTAAAGAAGCAGGCAACATGGTGCTGGCCAGATAGGGACCCCATCTGCATATAAAATACTAGGGTGGGATGGCAGGCTTCTTTGCGTGTTATATAAATGGCACACCTTGTCCAAGCAATTCTCTGTGCCCTATGCAAATCAGACACTGCCTCCTCAAACTCATCTATAAAACCCTGTGCATTTCACCATGGAAGCGGAAGACCCACTCAGGAGCCCCTCTCTGCAGGAGAGATAACCTTTCTCTGTCTTTCATCTGTTAAATCTCTACTCTTAACCTCACTCCTTGTGTGTCCATGTCCTTGATTTCCTTGATGTGAGACAATGAACCTCAGGTACTACTCCAGATGAACGACATCACTTCAGAAGTGTCTAGGGAAACTCAAAGACAAGAGGGAAGAAAAAACAAGGACACCAGAAGAATTTTAGCCTCTGATATCCACAGCAACAGCAAACAGTAAACACTGTCTAACTCGTGGCCCAAGAAACATAAAATCTCATGTTAAAGACCTTTTTACCTGTTTCCATTACCCATTACAACATGTCTGTCTTTCAACACAAAAATCACGAGGCATACAATAGGAAAACACAATTTGAAGAGACGCAGCAAGGATAAGAACCAGACTTAGATATGGCAGAGATACTACAATTATTAGACCAATAATTTAAAATAATTTCAATTTAAATATGACTAATATGCTAACGCCCAGAATGGGAAAAGTGGATGACATGCAAAAGCATATCATTAATATAAACAGAGAGATGAAAACTCTAAGAAAGAATCAAAAGGAAATCCTACTAATAAAAAACACTGTATCACAGGCATGACAAATGCCTGTGATGGGCTCATTTGGAGACTGAAAATAGCAAAGGCAATAATCAGTGAGCTTGATGATATGTCAATAAAAACTTTGTGAAATTAAATGCAAAGACAAAAAGAATGAAAAATAAAACCCAGAACAAAAAACCAGGACATTCAAGAATTGTGGGATAATCTCAAAAGGTATAACATATGTATAATGGGAATGGTAGAAAAAGAAGGGAGAGAAAAAAAAAACAAAAAAAATTGAAATTATCACTCTGCAATGTTTTCCAAAATTAATGACAGACACAAAATACAGGAATCTCAGAGAATATCAAACAGGATAAACATCCGAAATGACCCCAAATCAAAAAAGCAAAAAAAAAAAAAAAAGCACCTACTGTATTGTATTCAAATTGCAAAAAAATCAAAGACAAAGAGAAAACCTTGAAATAAGCTGTCACGGGTGTGGAAGGAATACAGGAGAAATAAAAAGTGTTCTCAAAAATGTAGAAAAAGGAAACATTGGCCAGGTGTGCTGGCTCACATCTGTAATTCTAGCACTTTGGGAGGCCAAAGCAGGTGGATCAGATCACCTGAGGTCAAGAGTTCAAGACCAGCCTGGCCAACATGGTGAAACATGGTCTCTACTAAAAATACAAAAATTAGCAGGGTGTGGTGGCAGCCACCTGTAATCCCAGCTACTTGTGGGGCTGAGGCAGGAGAATCACTTGAACCCAGGAGGTGGGGATTGCAGTGAGCCAAGATCATGACACTGCACTCCAGCCTGGGACAGAGCGAGACTCCGTCTCAAAATAAATAAATAAATAAATTAGAATACATAAAACATTGAGGGAATTTGGCATCAATAGAGCTACCTTGCAAGAAATGTTAAAAGGATTTCTTCAAAGAGAAGAAAATATACATTGATTAGAAACTCAGATTTACATAATGAAAGGAAGAGTTTTAGAAGAATAAAGTAAAATAAAATAGTTTATTCTTAATCTATCAGATAATAGTTTGTTCAAAATAATGGGAGTGATATATTCTGTGATTTTAGCTTATTGATAAGTGAGATGAATAACAGCAATTTTATAAAGAACAGGAGAGGGAAATTGAGACACTCGTTTAAGTACTTGCACTCCTTTGAAGAAGTATAGTGTTATTTGAATGCAGACTTAAATTTGTTGTAAATGTATATTGCAAACTATAAGATAGCCACTAAAAAGAGTAAATGAGTATAATTGATATGCTAAGAGAGGAAAGAAAGTGGAATCACACAAAATTCTCAATTAAAGCCGGGTGCAATGGCTCACACCTGTAATGCCAGCACTTTAGGAGGCCGAGGTTGGCAGATCACAAGGTCAAAAGATGGAGACCATCCTGGCCAGCATGGTGAAACCCCATCTCTACTAAAAATACAAAAAAAAAAAAATTAGCTGGGCATGGTCACACGCCTGTAGTCCCAGCTACTCGGGAGGCTGAGGCAGGAGAATTGCTTGAACTTGGGAGGCGGAGGTTGCAGTGAGCTGAGATCTCACCACTGCACTCTAGCCTGCGACAGAGTGCGACTCTGTCCCCCACCGCCCCCCCAAAAAGACCAAAAAAACCCAGATAAGGCAGAAAAATAGTGGAATAAAAAAAATAAAAAGGACAGCAAATTCCTAAAAGCAGTAACAAATATACGGTAGACGTTCATCCAACAATAGCAATTATCACATTAAACATGAATAGCCTAAATATGCCAATTATGACAGAGACTATCAGAATAGGAGAAAAACAAAGATGCAACTGTATGTTGTCTAACAAGAAATCTATGTCAAATGGAAAGATTTTGATAAGTTGTAAATAAAGTAATATGGGAAAATAACTGTGCTAACACTAATCATAAAAAACACTAAAGTAACTATTAATTTCAGATTAAACTGACTTAAGAAAAAATATCAAAGATTAAAGAGGAACATTACATAATAATGAGGGGTTAATTCTCCAAGCATGCATAACAACCCTTATATGTATATACTGAAGAACAATCTGTCAAAATATGTGAAGCAAAAATGAACATCAAGGAGAAATAGACAAATCTCCTCTTATAATTGAAGATTTCAACACCCTCCATCAGTAATTGACAGATCCACTAAGGACATATTTGAAGGGAACAGCACCATAAGTCATCTTGAGTGAATTGAAATTTATAAAATATTTAATTCAACAACAGCATAATTCACATTCCTTTTTTTTTTTTCTTTTTTTGAGTCAGGGTCTTGCTCTGTCACCCAGGCTGGAGTGCACTGGCATGATCATAGCTCCCCGCGGCCTCAAATTTCTGGGCTTGAGCAATCCTCCCACCTCAGCCTCCTGAGTAGCTGGGATACAGGTGTCAGCCACCACACCTGGTGAATTTTTTTTATCTTTTGTAGAGAAGTGGTCTCACTAAGTTGCCCATGCTTAATTCACTTTCTTCACTAGCTCACATGGGTCATCCACCAAGATAGATCTCATTCTGTGCCATAAAACATGCCTTAACAAATTAAAAAATTCCAAATCTTACTAAGTATACTCTCAGATCATGATGGGATTAAACTGGAAATTAGTAACAGAAAGATAACAGGAAAATCCGAACATATGTTGAAATTAAACAAGACACTTCTAAATAACACGTGTTAACAAGAACTTTCAATAAAAATTAAAAAAAATTGAACTAAATGAAAATGAAAATACAACTTTTCAACATTTGTGGGATGCAGCATAAGCAGTGTTTAGAGGAAACTTTATAGTGTTAATGTGTGTATTAGAAAAAGAGAAAGTTCAAAAAATAATAATCTCAGCTTCCACTTTAGGAACTAGGAAAAGGAGAGTAAATTAAATATAAAGTAAGCAGAAGAAAATAAATATAAACATTAGAGGAAAAATTAATTTAGTTGAAAACAAGAAACAGAGCAAATTAATGAAACATAAAGCTGGTTCTTTTAAAAAAATCAATAATTTTGACTCTTTAAATAACAGTAACCAACATATAATCTCAAGGACACCATATATTATTGGAGCTGGTAATGTCTTTCCCCTAGAGAGTAGGACTGTCTTTTGGAGAATCCTGGTTTTCTTTCACAGTGTGTGTTCCTCCCCTACCCTGGGAGAGAGAGGAAGGAATTTTTAACTCTGTATTGTGAAAACCTGGTGGATTCGCTGGAAGTAAAATGCAAAAAAGCATGGAATGCTCCCTAAGACTGTAGCCCCCCAAGTTTCTTGCCCTCATGCCAGTCCACACACAGGCTCCAGTAGTTAGACAAAATTACCATTTTAGTATTCCTAGAAGTTTATAGCTCCATTTGCTTCTGCTCCAGGTAAGCAGATGTCAGCTACCACTCTCTAGATTCATCTGTTCCTGCTGATTTTGGGGGTGATAGTTTGCCTTGAAACCTCAGTTCTCTGATGGGCTCAAAAAAGTTGTTAATTTTCAGTTTGTTTAGGTTTTGTTCTTCAAGGGCAGGATTGACAACTCCCATGCTCTTTATATGTAGCAGGTTAAACCAGAAGTCTAAGATGTATAATTCTTATACTATAAATCATAGGGTTTTTACAATCTGCCATCAGCACAGCTTACATTTTCTTCAAATTATGTTGTGATATTTAGTAGTGATCAGTTAATTTAAAGACAGCAAAATGCATTATTTAAATTGGAAATGTCTTCACAGTTTCATGAGTTTATTTAATCTGTATCTTCCATTGTGGTAACTTAATTGCTTCAAGGCTAAAAATATACATTAATTTTCAATAACCATTTACTAAATTTTTACAAATTATAAGGCTCTATGCGTGGGGAGCTGTATGATACAAGGATAAGTGCAAAGTGAATGTTTTCCTTAAAAAAATTAGTGGAGTAATACATAAAACAGAGAATGTATATCTCACTGCAATGCTATGCAGTATGCACTAGACCAGGGTTCTTCTTCCTGGGCATTGTTGATATGTGGGCCAGATAACCCTTTTATGTGAGGGACTGCTCCGTACATTGCAGGATGCTTAGCAGCATTCCTAACCTCTACTTCGGATGTCAGTAGCACTTCACTCCCAGCTATGACATCGTAATGTCACAAAATATCCACTGAGGGGCACTGACACAGTTGCTAATTCCTGAACTAAACAAATTCCAAAATCAAAATACACCAGTGGCCAGAAATGGATAGAACTAAATGTGAAACTCAAAACTATAAGACTTCTAGAAGATAATAGAGAAAAAAAATCTAACGACCATTGGTTTGGTGGTGACTTTTTAGGTATGACACCAAACACATAATCTATGAAAGAAAAAAAATCAGTAAGTAGGATTCAACTAAAAGTAAAATACGGTTGGGTGGAGGGAGGAAAAAAAGTAAAAACTTCTGCTTTAAGAAAATGAAAACAGAAACCATGACTCAGGAGAAAATATTTATAAAATGTGTATCTGATAAAGAACCTGTATCCATAGTATATGGAGAACTATTAAAACTTAACAGTAAGAAAATAACCCAATTTAAAAGATCAGCAAATATCTGAATAGACACACCATCAGAGAAGATATACTGATGGCAAATAAACATATAAAACTATGTTCAATATTATATATTATTAGATAATTGCAAATTAAAATAATTACTACCCATTTTTTTTCTTCAAATTTTATTTTAAGTTCCAGGGTACATGTGCAGTATGCACAGGTTTGTTACAGAGGTAAACGTGTGCCATGATGCACAGAAGCCATGATGCACACACAGATCAACCCATCACCTAGGTATTAAGCCCAGCATTCATTAGCTATTCTTCCTGATGCTCTCCCTACCCTCACCCCCTCCCATGACAGGCCACAGTGTGTGCTGTTCCCACCCATGTGTACATGTGTTCTCATCGTTCAACTCCCACTTATAAGTGATAACATTCGGTGTTTGGTTGTCTGTTCCTGCATTAGTTTGCTGAGGATAATGGCTTCCAGCTCCATCCATGTCCCTGAAAAGGACATGATGTCATTCCTTTTTAAACCTGCATAGTATTCCATGGTGTATGTGTACCATATTTTCTTTATCCATTCTATCATTGAAGGGTATTTGGGTTGATTCCATGTCTATGCTATCGTGAATAGTGCTGCAATGAACATACGTATGCATGTTTCTTTATAATAGAACGATTTATATTCCTTTGGGTATATACCCAGTAATGAGATTACTGGATTAAATGGTATTTCTGCTTCTAGATCTTTGAGGAATCCCCACACTATCTTCTGCAATGGTTGAACAAATTTACACTCCCATGAACAGTGTATAAGCATTCCTTTTTCTCCACAACCTTTCTCGCACCTGTTGTTTCTTGACTTGAGAAGTGTCTGTTCGTGTCCTTTGCTCACTTTTTAATGGGGCTATTTGTTTTTATCTTGTAAATTTAAGTTCCTTGTAGACTCTGGATATTAGACCTTTGCCAGATGAATAGATTGCAAAAATTTTCTCCCATTCTGTAGGTTGTCTGTTCACTTTGATGATAGTTTCTTTTGCAGAAGCTCTTTAGTTTAATTAGATCCCATTTGTTAATTTTTGCTTTTGTTGCAGTTGCTTTTGGCATTTTCATCATGAAATCTTTGCTCATGCCTATGTTGTGAATGGTATTGCCTAGATTTTCTTCTAGGGTTTTTATGGTTTGGGGTTTTACATTTAAGTCTTTAATCCATCTTGAGTTAATTTTTGTATAAGGTGTGAAGAAGGGGTCCAATTTCATTTTTCTGCATATTGCTAGCCAGTTCTTCCAGCACCATTTATTACATAGGGAATCCTTTCTCCATGGCTTATTTGTGTCAGGTTTTCGAAGGTCAGATGGCTGTAGGTGTGCAGTCTTATTTCTGAGTTCTCTAATCTCTTCCATTGGTTTATGTGTCTGTTTTTGTACCAGTGCTGTGCTGCTTTGGTAACTGTAGCCTTAATTACTACCATTTTTTACAACAGCTAAAATCCAAGAAAACAGACAATATCAAATTCTGGTAAAGATGTGGAGCAACAGGACTTCTCATTCATTGCTAGTGGGAATACAAAATGGTACAGTCACTTTTCAAAACAATCAACTCCTAGGTATTAACTCAAATGAGTTAAAAATTTATGTCCACACAAAAACTTGCACATGGATGTTTATTGTAGCTTTATTCATAATTGTCAGAAATGGAAAGTCACCAAATATACCTCAGTAGGCAGATGAACAAACAAACTGCTACCTCCATTCTGTGGAATATAGATCACCAACAACAAAACAATGAGCTATCAAGCTGTGAAAAGACATGGAAGATACGTAAATACATATTTTATAGTAAAAGCAGCCAGTCTAAAAAGGATATATACTGTATTATTCCAACTATAGGGCATACCGGAAAAGAGAAAACTATGGAGACAGTAAAAGGATTAGTGGTTGTCAGGAATTGGGGAAAAGGGAGGGATGAAAAGGCAGAGCACAGAGGGTTTTTAAGGCCATGAAATTACTCTGTATGTTACTTTAAGAGTGGATAAATGACATTGTCCATTTGTCAAAACTCATAGTGCTGTACAACACAAAGAGTAAATGCCAAGGTAAGCTATGGTATTTAGTTAATAATAACATATCAATATTGGTTCATCAGTTGTAACAAAGGTACCACATTCATGGGTGATACTAACAATAGGTGGACTGAGTGGAGGTGAGAAGACGTATAAATGCAAAAATTGTTTAACTTTCATAATTAAAAGAAAGGCTATGGTCTGCTTGTCTTGAATGATTATGAAAGCATCACATAACCCATAGATATTTTGTTTATTTATTAAGAACAGTACATATATGTGGAAATTTTTAAATTGTGGTTATTGAGTTTTGTTTTCTAAAGATAACAGTTTTAACATTTTCAATTAAAATGAAGTTCTTTAAAAAAATCTCACAACTCTTGAAGAACATAAACTAGGACAACTTTCTGCTTCGGGTATCAAGGAATAGTCACTCTGGGATGGGAATAGTAAGAAATCAGGAGACTTTCCTAGATGTTCTTCCTGCTAGCTGTATGCAGAGGACAAGTGGTGTAGCCATTGGATGAGAGTGGCCTGAATGCCTGGAGGAGAATCAATGGCCCACCAGGATCACCAGCCTTTGAGTGTTAGAGGAGTGATAAATAAATCACTGTTGTAATTGAGCCATTTGCATTTTGGGTCTATTTATTAGGGCAATCTAGCTTACATTAACTAATCCAAGTGACATGGGGCATCCAAGTTCCATCTCAGGAGGTGGAGCAGTGGAGGAAGAGTCAGTTTGTCAGAGAGACAAATAACATTTTTTAACTGGTGAATTGGGAACAAATGTTAAACAGTTAATATTCTTTCAGAAAATTCTGAAAGATATTTAGAGTAGGCTGGGCGCCGTGGCTCACGCCTGTAATGCCAGCACTTTGGGAGGCCGAAGCGGGCGGATCACGAGGTCAGGAGATCAAGACCATCCTGGCTAACATGGTGAAACCCTGTCTCTAGTAAAAATACAAAAAAAAAATAAAAAAAAAAATAAAAAAATTAGCTGGGCGCGGTGGCGGGCGTCTGTGGTCCCAGCTCCTCTGGAGGCTGAGGCAGGAGAATGGCATGAACCTGGGAGGCGGAGCTTGCAGTGAGCTGAGATAGCACCACTGCAGTCTGGCCTGGGCGGAAGAGCGAGACTCCGTCTCAAAAAAAAAAAAAAAAAAAAAAAAAAGATATTTAGAATATTCAGAATATTCTGACTCGGTCACAATCACATTTAACAAAATTTCTGTCCCACAAGAAATTTGTGTTCAGGCTTTAAAATACTTACTAACCAGTCCACTGCAATGGATTCTGTTCTGAGAGGTAATTGTTCCGAAGCACTGATTTAGTGTTCTTCAGTTATCTCCTTGACACAGAAGCTTACCTTCTCTCCCTCTGCCCAAACTTCCCATCAAAGAACATTTGCCTTAGCTCAACCCTTCTAATTATTGTTTTCTCAGAGTTTCCCTGAGTAGCTTATTCTATTGCTCAAATATTATTTTTACCAAAATACAGTTATCCTGCAGAAATTAAAAGCCAATACCTGTGATCACACAGCCATGTGATTGAGCAGCTGTTGGTTGGCCTGAGAAGCTAATATAAGGTTGAATTGGAGTGAAACTTGGATGAAAGACCGCTTATCCAGTGATTTCTATAAACACTTTGCTTCCATAGACACATTGTCTGATATTTTCTTACATTCTCCTTTGCCTGACACTAGAATTTAATGCCTGTCCTGATAAAGGTGTGTTTGCCACCTGTCATAGATGTAACTATTTATTGACAAGTAAAAATTTTATAGGTAACATTGATTCTTTCAAAATCTAATAACATGAATAATATTTCATTTGAATTATTAAAATGTTGCAAATAAATATGCAGCAGAAAATGTGGAGCTTTAACTTTTCATAGAAATGAACTCATGCCGAACTACTATGTCTGCAAAATAAGCAATGTGCCACCATGACTCCATCAATACATATGCCCTAATGATCTCCTGCATAGTAAGGCTATTTTTCTTCTACTGCCATGTGTTTTATTTAGGTGATGAGAGTAATTATTCTGGCTATCATTAAATATGATTGTCACATTTATTATGGTACTTTCGTAGTTACTTTTTGGAATATTTAAAATGCCTCAAGGCATGGTTCAGAGGAGAGTAATGGCATTTTTTTATACACATGTATCCATTCAGTCAACAAATATATATAGGGAGCCTATGATGAGTCAAGTGCTCTGGGTAATGTGGGATGAACATAATGAGAATGTTTGATGACCTCTGGATAAACAATATATACCACTTAGCTATTTATGTAGAAATAAATTTAACACATGAATTAACTAGTGATACATGCTTAAGATTTCTCTATATCTTTTTATGGCTTAATGGCTCATTTCTTTTTATCAATGAATAATATTACATTTTCTGGATATTATTTACTCATGCACCTATTTAAGGACATCTTGATTATTTATGAGTTTTGACAATTATGAATAGAGCTGCTGTAAACCTCCATGTGCAGGATTTTGTGTAGACACACTTTTTAACACATTTGAGCAAATATCATGGAGTAGGATTGTTAGATTGTATGTTAACAGTAATATTTAGTTTTGTAAGAAACTGCCAGCAAGGTATGGAGACTTCACATTTGTAATCTCAATATTACCAATGATGAATCCATACCAGTCTGCAGCAAATTTGATCCTTGCCTCCTCAGAGGAAAGAATTTGGCCTAGGGCAGAAGTAGGTTTACGGCAGAGAGAAAGACCAAGGCAAGTTTTAGATCAGCAGTAAGAGTTTCTTTATAAGTTTTAGAGCAGGAGCAAAAGCAAGCAAAATACATCTGGAAGAGGCCCAAGAGTGTGACTTGAGAGGTCCAAGAGCCCCATTCAGCCTTTGACTTGGGGTTTTCTATATTGGCTTAGTTTCAGGGTTTGTGTTTCTCTTCCCTTGATTTTTCTATGGGGAGGGCTGTTGCTCAACTGCTGCATGTGTAGTGTGGGTCTGCACTTGGGAGAGTGACCGAATGCATAGTGCATTTACTAAGGTTGTGCTCATGCTTTCTAGGGGTGATTTTCCTTTACCCATTGAACGCCCCCAGAGGAAGGTCATAATCCACTATTATTGCCTCTTAGTTTGCATACTTGAGCCCACTTGCCCAACTCCTGAGATCTTATCAGGAAACGTCTGATCACCAGCTCCAGGTGTTTTCTGTCTATTGGGAGACTGGCTGTCCCCTGGCACCAGCTGCAACCAATTATCATTTGAGAGCGACAGTGTAGCAACTGCCTCACCATCACCTGATGGTTGCCTGACATTCCTGGCAGGCGTCCTCTCCTGCCCTGCTTATATCTGTGTAACTGCCTACTCTAACATCGCTTTGGGAAGCTGAGATCGCTTGAACTCAGGAGTTCAAGATCAGCCTGGGCAACAAAGTGAGACCCCATGTCTACTAAAATAAAATAAAATAGAAAATAAAATTAGCTGGGTGTGCTGGCATGCGCCTGTAGTCCCAGCTGTTTGGGAGGCTGAGGTTGGAGGGTGGCTTGGGCCTGGGAGGTTGAGGTCTAGCCTGGGTTACAAAGTGAGACCCTGCCTCAAAAAATAATTAATTAATTAAAAAAAGAAAGAAAGAAAGAAAGAAACTGCCAAGTTTTATTCCAAAGTAGCTATACCATTTTGCATTACCATCATCAATGAATGAGAGTTCTTTTTGCTCCACATCCTTTGCAAGCATGTGGTGTTGTCAGTACTTTGGATTTTGGCCATTCAAATAGGTATGTAATGGTAGTTCGCTGTTGTTTTTATTTGCAATTTCCTAATGACCTATGATGTTAAGTATCTTTTCATATGCTTATTTGCCATGTGTAGATCTTCGGTGAGGTGTCTGTTAAGGTCCTTTGCCAGTGTTTAAGTTAGATTGTTCTCTTTCTTATCATTGAGTTAAAGAGGTCTTTGTATATTTTGGAAAATAGTCCTTTATCAGATATGTGTTTTGCAATTTTTTTTCAGTAGACTGTCTTCTTTCCTCATTTTCTTGGCAGTATCTTTTCAAGAGCAGAAATTTTTAATGTTAATGAAGTTTAGCTTATCAGTTAATTCTTCCAAATGAGGACTAAGCTCTGATTTTTTTATCTTCCCAAAATTCCTATCTAAAGGGTCTGGGAAGTCATACCGTACAAACCATAAATTATCGTCAGATGGGTTTCATTTAACCCTATATATCATGACTTACTTTCCAGTCTGACTCTGGCGTAACATTACGCGACAAAGAAGAAAGTCATGTTTCTTTGCCATATTTTGAAATGGCCCTCCAAAGCTGTCCTTTGTAGGGGATAATTTGTATCTGTAAAGAATCTCTATTAACATAGCTAGATATTTTTCTTCCAGGCCCTCCCAATCCTGAAGAGATTAAGAGTCTAGCACCTTTATTTATTTATTTTTTTTAATTTTTTTTTTGACTCAGATTCTTGTTCTGTCACTGGGCTGGAGTACAGTGGTGCGATCTTGGCTCACTGCAACCTCCGCCTCCCGGGTTCAAGCGATTCTCCTGCCTCAGCCTCCCAAGTAGCTGGGACTACAGGTGCATGCTGCCACACCCGGCTAATTTTTTGCATTTTTTTAGTAGAGACAGGGTTTCACCATGTTAGCCAGCATGGTCTCAATCTCCTGACCTCGTGATCTGCCTGCCTTGGCCTCCCAAAGTGCTAGGATTACAGGCATGAGCCACCATGCCCGGCCGTGTCTAGCACCTTTTAAAGGTCTGAATAGGAAACATTTGTCATCTATTCTCTCTAAGGGCAGCCACTGTAAGACTTCAAAAGAACCTTGGTCTCCACAATCTTTTATCTTAACCTGAACATTTCCTTTCTATCAATCCCAGGTCTTCAGACAAACTCAACCAATTATCAACCAAAAAGTGTTTAAATTTACCTATAGCCTAGCCTAGAATTGCCACCCTCCCACCCCTCTTTGGGTTGTCCCACCTTTCTGGACCAAACTAATATATTTCTTAAATGTATTTGATTCATGTCTCATGCCTCCCTAAAAGCATAAAACCAAGCTGCGCCCCGACCACCTTGGGCACATGTTCTCAGGACCTCCTGAGGGTTGTGTCATGGGCCGTAGTCTCTTATATTTGGCTCAGAATAAATCTCTTCAAATATTTTAGAGTCTGACTCTTTGCATTGACACATGGATCCTTTGGTGATGTGTATAGAAAGACATCACCATACCCAAGATTATCCAGATTTTCTCCTATATTATCTTCTAAGAGTTTTGTAGATTTGCAGTTTACATTTGAGTCAATGATCTAATTCGAGCTAATTTTTGTAAAAGATGTGAGGTCTGTGTCTAGAAAAATATATTTGCATGTGAAACTTCAGTTGTTCCAGCACCACTTATTGAAGAGATTATATTTTCTCCATTGTATTGCCCATGATCTTTTGTCAAAGATCAATTGTTACTATTTATGTCTGTCTATTTCTAGACTTTCTATTCCCTTCCATTGAACTATTTGTTTATTCCTTCTGTAATACTACACTGCCTGAATTACTATAGCTTTATAATAAGTCTTGAAATTGGGTAGTGTCAGACTTTTGACTTTGTTCTTCTCCTTTAAGTTTGTGTTGGCTATTCTGAATCTTTTGCCTCAGCATAGAAAATTTAGCATCAGTTTGTCAATATGTGGAAAACAACTTGCTGAAGTTTTGATTGAAATTTAAGAGAAAATCTACTTTTTTGTCAGCTTCAACATGTAAAGTGGTTAGAAGTTGTTGCTTTCAGCCTTACAACAAGAAAAAACTGAACAAATTTGAAAGCAATGACTGTTCTTGGATGCAGGGATAATTTAGGTTGTAGGACAGACCACCACCACCACATCTGGGGAGATGAGTGAATACACAGTCACAGCAGACATTTCACCTGGAGCAGGAGCTGCTGAAGCCATAAACTAGTAAGAACAGTTCAGTGATCATTTTGAAAAATTCTGGAGGCTTAATGTGGAGTACTTTGAGAGTGAGAAACTTATAAGGACCATAGTCTTAGGGGAGTTCCCACACTAATGTGAATTTTAACTTCAGGAACCCTACCAGATTTTCATGTTGAAAAGTCAAGGAAGATCTCCTCCTGTCTCTGGCAGGAAATGGGAAGAGTAACCACCATGAAATGTTCCCATGGTCTTCTCCATAACAAACGCCTACTCCAGGAAAAATGACGTTACCATAGCAGAATCCCACTAGGAAGGACAGTTCTCAGACTCTCTCTCTCTCTTGCCTTCCTACCTCCCCTAAGGGAGAAAACTCAAAACAACAAAACAAAACAAAATAAAACAGACTTGTGAAGGTCAAAGGCCCACCAAAAACTGAAAGGTAATTATAATATTACTGAATTCTTACCTTTCCCCATTGGTTGTCATTACCTAACACGTCTCCAGTGTAACAGATGAAGGAGCTGCAGGATGCAAACTCTAGCTAAGAAGGAGTTCTCAGGGAATCCTGAAACAACATGGGAGATGAAAACAAAGACACCAAAGTAATATGTAATATGTAATATAAAGCCTCTGGCTCCTGCAGCTACAGAAAACATTAAACGTAGTCCAATTTCTAGTCAAATAACATAAATCCTTACAGTAAAGGCCTGTTTATCTCAATTCTAATCCATGATGTTCAATAGAAAATTAGATGGCCTATTAAAAGGCAAGAAAAGCACAGTCTGATGAGATGAGACAAAGCATGCATGAGAACAAGATACAAATATGGAAAAATTGTGAAATTGCCATGCAGGGAATTTAGAATAACTATGAATAATATATTATGGGCTCTAATAGAAAATGTAGACTACATCAAGAGCAGATGGATATTGAAAGCAGAGAGGTGGAAACTCTGAGAAATAATTGAAAGAAAATGCTAGAATTAAGAACTTCTATGGCATAAATGAAGATTGCCTTTGATAATCTTATTGGTAAACTAGACACAGCTGAGGAAATAATCAGTGAGCTTAAAGATAGGTCAGCAGGACTACCCCATACAAAGATTCAAAGAGAAGACAGAATGAATAAACATGGCACAAAACATTCAAGAACTGTGAGACATTTTTCAAAGATGTAACAAGTATATAGTTGGATATCAGAAAAAGATAAAAAAAAGTATAGAAAAGAATAATATTTAAAGAGTAATGGCCAAGAATTTTTCAAAATCAATGGCAGAATGAAAAGCAAAATCCAGGAATTATAGCTAATACCAAGCAAGATAAATACCAAGAAGAGGGGATGGAGAGTAGCATGAGATGTTTAAATGTGGCAGTGAGTTATGATTCAGATTACAGGAGAATTTCTAGATTTGGACATAAGTGTTAACTCCTATTTTATTGGGATTGAGGGGACAGTTATAAATGTAGCGGGCTTGCTTGATGTTGGAAAGATTAGGTAATATCAATCTGTAAGTAGTTTATCCTCCCTCTCCTCTCTTCCTCCTCCTTTTTCCCTTTCTTCTTCCCCTTTTCTTCCTCCTTCTCCTCCTCTTTCTCTTCTACCTTCTTCTTCTGTAATGCAGAAATAATTCTTGACCATGTGCTCAGGTTTAGGAGAGAGAGCACTTTCAAATTTAAAGATTTTGGTGAAGTTTTATTGAGTACTGAAGCCCAAGATGAGGGGAGCAACTATATATTCAAGATTCTACGATTGCTATCACTGGTACTCAGGAGTCTCAATGTAGTTGGTATGAAGAGTCTGGACTTTGGGATTTATGAAGAGAGTTCTTGCCAGTTTAGTAACTCATGTAGTGGAGGAACTACATGGAAACTTCTCCTCCTGTACCACCTCCCCTAACCCCAGTCTTGCCTTCCCTCATCTTAGCATGAATTCTCCCCCTTCTTATCTTCTCATAGTTCTTATTCATGCTTCTCATGCAACACATTTACACTGTCTAGTTACTTCTTACATTCTTTCTTGAAACAAAATATGGTATATAAAATAAACATATATAATCAGTAATATGCATAATTTACAATGATTTATATGCCTTATTTTTTGTTGCTCCTTCCATATTGTAAATGTGATAGATAGTATGTATAAAGTAGTAATACATGGTAAGATAATACATGAAAAGATTATTTCATCTACTGTTAACCCTCTTGTGCAGCCAACTATCTCAGATTTGACAATCAGATGAGAAGGCACTAGTAGAGTAAAGAACCAAGAAAAAATACCCACATTTATACTTAGTGTCTAAGTTCAAATTAGGGCCTAGTGTAGATCAAAACAGACTTGAAAGACAACACAAACAGGTAGAACAGGTATCTCCTAGACTCTCCCCCCAAAGAACACTATGACCACCAAACTGGGTTGGAAAAGAACACATTTTGAGGAGAAGAATAGAGTTGGAACTGTCTTAGTCTATTAGTGTATTTATAGCAAAGTACCTGAGACTGAGCAAATTTATAAATAATGGAAGTTTATTATCTCTCTCTTCTGAAGGCTGAGAAGTTCAAGATCAAGGTCTCAGCAGGTTTGATGATCTGATAAAGGCTGTTCTCTGTTTCCAAAATGGCATCTTGTTGCTGAATCCTCCAGAGGGGTGGAATGCTGTGTCCTCATACACTGGAAGGGACAGAGCAGGAGAAAAGTGGCAAATTCCCTTCATTTAGTCCTTTTATAGTAACAACTAATCCCATTCATGTGGGATTATCCCCTCATTGCTAACTCGTCTCCCAGGGACAACACTTCCCAATACTGTTGCATCGAAGATTCAGTTTTAACATGAATTTTGGCAGGAACGAAAACATTCAAACTGTAAAAGAAGCCCTGTGTGGGCCATGTATCTTCCCCAATGCCATCATCTTGAGATGAGAGAGATGAGCAGCAAAATAGAACACTCCTTGGTATTTTGGAAAATGTAGAAGTGCACAGGACTTATAATCTACTTTGAAGGCAGCAGGCTCACAAATGCAACACCCCACGCCACTAAGGTACAGAGTAAGTAGCCACCAGAGCTCCAGAACTTCACCTGGCAATTTTTTGGAATAAAAGAAGATCTGTAAATTACCATGGGGCCCCAGCAGGGTCCTGAAGTCGGCTGAGAGGGGGCACATACCTCCTCAGGAGGTCAGCAGGAAGGAACAAGAGAAAATGCACCAAAAGGATGTTCTATGAACTGCCTGTCAGGGGATAAGAGAAAAATCCATTGCAACTTGATATATAAGTGACACCAGGAAAACAAAGTGGGGCTGGTGGGGGTTCAGAAGCCTGTCAAGCCCTGCTAGAAAGAGAAGGTCTGTTGTCTGTGCTTACTACCAAGACTGGAGCAGGGCTTAGGCAAGGAGACCTGCAGAGAAGCCAAATAAAAAGGCAGACTTTCTTTCTCCATAGCCTTGATGAGACAGGGGCCACATCAATTACCAGAAGTCTAGGGACCACCCCAGGGAGGAGGGAATGAATGGGATATTTCTTTTCTTTTCTTTCTTTACTTTTTCCTTCTCCTTTCCTCTTTCCCTTCCTTCCTTTCTTCAGTCATATGTCTAAATTGTAGGTTTGAATTGACTGAGGAATCACTGGATTGGATTGAAGACAAATCTGGAGTTGACTTGATTAAGTTGTCTGCCTAGGCTGGGGCCTACAGCCAAAAACCTAAATTGAGTTAAAGACACACAATTACAACTTCACCCACCTAGGGTTTTGGGGCTTGTTGTGATTATACAATTCATACTCACTAAATAGACTTCCTGGCAATTAGCACCATGTAGAATGGTATTTGTTCCTAACATTTTATTATGCGATTGTTCAGGCACCTGCACTAAAAATGGAAAGAACTTCACAGTGAAAATAAATATGCTGACCACTTAGATTCTACTAACATTTTAGTGTAATTGCATTATCACATATCCATACATTCATTCGTTCCTTTATCAGTCTATAAATATATCTTATTTTTTGAAGCACTTTGGAGTAACTTGCAGATATCTGTGTAATTCCCCAAGTATTTATTTCAGCAGCTTTATTATTATTAACTGAAGTTCTATTTTTGACGTTTTTTTATTTGATGTAAAATATGCACAAAATGAAATGCTAAACTATTAAGTGTATATTTTCTGAGTTTTGAAAATGTTTCCACCTGTGTAACCAAAATCTATATTATGACATAGAACAGGAGTCAGCACCTGTTTCTTATAAAAATCCAGATAGTATGTATTTAAAGTTTTATGAGTCATGTATGACTCTGTTATATATTCTTCTTATGTGTTTGTTTATAATGTTTTTTAAAATGTAAAAACCATTCATAGCTTGCGGGCCACACAATATAGGTTATCTGGGAACTTGGGTTCCTCATCTGGTACTATATCACCTTATTTTTAATGGGTTTTCCAACTTTAGGCAACCCATGACGCTATGAGAGAATTACCTACAATTATTTTTTCAGTGAGTCAGCCTATCATATTTGGTTCCTTTATAAAGAAAAATATGCTATTCAAACCTTTATTCTTTCTTTCTGGATGGTGTCACACTGGCCAGTTCAAATTTGAAAAATACACACGCAAACAAGCCCTTTGAGGTCCCCAAAGAAAAGTAATTAAAGTGGAGTGAACTATTCTGATTCAAATGTAATGTAAGATTATTTACCAGGGAATGTTAATACTGTAGGTTCTGGATTTTTGTATAAATATATTGATTTCCCTAACACACACTGCAGTAAAAATAAATAGAAGTAAATAATTTTGCTTTTAAAAAATTGGTTGCCACTCTTGCCATTTGTATTAGCCATCTATTGTTATTGCTGTGTAATAAATGATCAGCAACTTAATGGCTTCAAAACAACACACCCCAACTATCTCACTGTTTCTGTGATCAGGAACCTTGGGATAGTTTAGCTGGATTCCCTGCTCCCAGGTCTCTCACAGGACTGCAATCAAGGTGATTGCCAGGGCTAGAGTCTCATCTGAAAACTCAATTGGGCCAGTCTCCACTTCCAAACTCACTTTTATGATTGCTGGCAAGATGTGGTTGTTTTTAGGGCATTGGCCAGAGGGTCTCAACTCCTAGCTGGGTCTTGGCCAGAAGCCACTCTCAATATCTTGCCACTTGAGCCTCTTAAAAGTGCCAACTTGCTTCATCAAAACTAACAAGGGGGAGAGTCTACTAGTGAGATGGAAGTCAGAATCTTTTGTAATTTAATCATGGAAGGTATGTCTCCTCAATGATATGGGATTCTATTATTTAGAAGCAAGGCTCACAAGAGGAAAAAATTATACAACACTTTGAATGTCAGGAGGTGGAATCTTTGGGACCATCTTAGAAGCTGTGGACTACACCATTTTATTTTGCACTTCAAATGGATCAAGGGTAAAATCTGATGATTTAATTAATTGTGTTTATAATCTGGTCATTGCATAAACATATGCTGTAAAAAGACTTTCTTTTCTGTGAAAGCAGGTAAATGTTGTTCTCAGGAATTAAAAGCCGATATTAAGGGCGCCCTTCTTTTATATTTCCCTGCCAACTTAACACAGGTTTTAAAAGCAGCTTGGGGCCTATATCACTTGTGTCGGGGCACTTCAAGAAAATAGCTAGAGAACACAGCAGAAAAACTAATTTTCTTTTTATTTGACAGGGAACTCTTTCTCAGGAAAGTGTTTCACAGTGCCATTACTCTCAAGCTTCCCCTGAAAATCTTTATTCAACTGAGTGAATTTCTTCTCTTTTGCCTCTATGCAGCCAGTTTCCAAATTAGTCTTCTGTGTGATAATTAATGCCTGGTGGCTACATGAAAGCATAACCTGAATGAGGATTTTTCTGAAAATACTGTTTTTGAAGTGGCTGAAAGGAAAATCATAATTAGCCTTCAAAACTATTAGAAGACAGGTAAGAAGAGCAAGAATGGATTAGGCTTCATCAGTGTTATCCTTGCCTAGTTGGGGAAAAAAATCACAACGCTTTATTTCAGCAAACTGGAATGTCATTAATTCTCTAGTTCTGGATGAGCTATTCCTCATTCCATTTTTACTCACCTTACAACTTTTGCTTTAGTAAGAACACAGTTATATTCATTTGCTTACGTCTTTCAGTCCTAGGTATAGAGAAGGTATATTCACATTTTTGTATGAATAAAATAATACATTTATCCTTTCTTGATGGTAAAACCTTCTTCTATTTTATGTGTAATAAAATACTTACAACCTTCCACCTGTAATCCCAGCACTTTGGGAGGCCGAGGCAGGTGGATCACCTGAGTTCATGACCAGCCTGGTCAACATGGCAAAACCCTGTCTCTACTAAAAAAAAAAAAAAAAAAAAAAAAAAGGCTGGGCATGGTGGTCAGTGCCTGTAATCCCAGCTACTTGGGAGGCTGAGGCAGGAGAATTGCTTGAACCTGGGAGGTGGAGGTTGCAATGAGCCGAGATCTCACCATTGCACTCCAGCCTGGGTGACAAGAGCAAAACTCCATCTCAAAAAACAAACAAACAAACAAAAAAAACTTACCACCTTCCTTAAGCTTATCATTTTTCCTAACTACTTTTGTGTCTGCAGTGCCTTGATTTATAAAATCAATATAGCATTAGTCATGTATCATTATTCTGACCACATGTAGGTTGCATTGTCATTTAGTCAAATCTGTTTGACTTATTATTTGTAAAAACTAACCTAACATAGTTTATGTGCATTAACTTGGTGTCATATAATTCATTCATCTATTGAAGGTATGTGATTTTTTAATATCTTTCCTGAATTTCTTGGCTAACTTTCTACAAATATGGGGTACAAACTATTAACTTCAAGTCACAGATCTTATATATACAAAAATGTTACTTTATTTTTCTATTCTGTATTAGTCCATTCTCACATTGCCATAAAGAACTTCCCAAGACCAGGTAATTTATAAAGGCAAGAGGTTTAATTGACTCACATTTTCTTAAGGCTGGGGAGGCATCAGATAGCTTACAATCATGACGGAAGGTGAAGGGGAGGCAGGCACCTTCTTCACAAAGTGGCAGGAGAGAGAATGACTGAACCAGGAACTTGGCCAAGTACATATAAAACCATCAGATCTTGTGAGAACAGACTCACTTCATGAGAACAGCATGGGAAAAACCACTCCCATGATCCAGTTACCTCCACCTGGTCTCCCCCTTGACATGTGAGGATTATGGTGGTTATAATTCAAGATGAAATTTGGGTGGGGATACAAATTTGGGAATACAAAGCCTAACCATAACAATTCCAAAAATAAAGTGCTATCTTTAACCCCTACACTGCAAAATGGCATACAAATTAATATAGTCCTCCACAGATAAACTAATCACTTCAGGATTTGAACTCAAGAAATTCAAGTTTCGCCACCTCATTGTTGGAGAAGGGCATTTCAGGACCTCCGTGATGCTCAGGCTCTGGCTGGAGCACACTGAGGTCTGCTTCTCTCATTTCTTCTTTGAGGTAGGGCCCTCTATCCTCAGTCTCATAAGTGGTTAGTGTCCACAGTTCCACTGTGGTCTCAATTGCCAGCATTGCTCAGCATCTCTCTTGTCCTCTCCTTCAGCCCTTTTGTATCTGTGTGTGTGTGTGTGTGTGTGTGTGTGTGTGTGTGTGTGTATGGGTGGGTGGGGGGTGGGGCGGTCATTAACTCCAAGCTGCTTTTCTAACAGTGCTGGGGTACAAAGACTCTGTGAGCTCTTCTCAGTCCCATCTAGTCATTGTCAGAATGTGTATAGGTACCTTATTGTGGATTTCAGTTACATTTCCTTCATAAGTAAAATATGTTGAACATCTTTTCATGTGGTTATTGGACATCCATACATATGTTAAGAAATGCCTGTTAAAATTTTGCCTTTTAAAAAGTGTCATCTTCTAAATATTTATGCAACCTGGTCTCATTTCTCTTTAGCCTGAAAAACTTTTATATAGAATGATTTGTAATGCAGATATGCTGATGATATTTCATCTTAGTTTTTTGTTTATATAAAATGTATTTATGTTGCCCTGATTTCTGAATAATAGTTTATTAAATATAGATTTAAAAATTTAGTTTTAAGGTTTTCTTTTCATTTTTTTCTAGCACTTTGGATATATCATTTGTATGTCTCTGGGCCTCAACTTTTTCCCAGTGAAAAATCAGCCACTCATATTGAATAAATAAAATGTGGTACAGATACACCATGGAATACTATGCAGCTATAAAAAAGAATAAGGTCATGTTCTTTGCAGGAACATGGATGAAGCTTGAGGCCATTATCCTCAGCAAACTAATGCAGGAACAGAAAACCAAATACCTCATTTTCTCACTTTTGAGTGTGAACTAAATGATGAGAACACATGGACACAAAGAGGGGAACAACAGACACTGGGGCCTACCTGAAGTGGATGCTGGGGGGAAGGAAAGGATCAGGAAAAATAACCATTGGTTTCTAGGCTTAGTACCTGGGCAAAATAATTTGTACAACTACCCCCAATGACATGAGTTTACCTATATAAGAAACCTGCACACTTACCCTGAACCTAAAATACAAGTTAAATAAATAAGTAAATAAATAAATAAAATAAAAATAGAAAATCAGCCACTAATGACATCATTGTTCTCAAATATGTAATTGTAATTTTTTTTAGTTAGTTCTTTTAACATTGTTTCTTTATTTTTAGATTTCAGCAGTTTGACATTGCCTAGAAGTAAATTTCTTTGTGTTATGTGTTAATCTTACATGGTGTCTGTTAAGCTTTTGAATTGTTAGGTCATTTTTTAACAAAATTAGGGGATTTGGGGCCATCATTTCTTTAAAATATTTTTATGTACCCCCTCTCACCTTCAATGTTCTAGGAATCCAGGTGTACTTAGATTGGACCACTTGATATTTTTCCATGTGTTCCTGAGTCTTCTTGCTGTTGGTGGTGGCTTTGTTGTTGTTGTTGTTGGCAGTCTTTTTTTCTTTTTTGCTATTTTTTAGGGAAGGTTACTTTTATTGATTTATCTTCAAGTTTCCTGGTTTTGTATTCTGCCTTGTCTAATCTGTTAGCATTTCTAGTTAATTTTACATAGTTATCCTTTTTGCATGTAGAATTTCCATTTATTTTAATTTCATTTTTCTTCTGTTGAAATTCCTTATATATTAACTCATTAAAATCACTTTTCTTCTAATTATTTGGACATATTTACAATGGTTGATTTGAAAACTTTGGGTAAAAAATTCTTACTAAATTTGCTTTTATTCAGCATCAGTTTCTATTGACTGCCATTTTTTCCCAAGTATAAGTTACATTTTCCTGTTTGTATACATGTCTGGTAGTATTTAGTTGAAAACTGGACATAGTAGATCATACATTTTAGTGACACTAGATTCTTTTGTATTTATCTGAGGATTGTTGCGTCATTGTTCTGGTAACCAATTAACTTGCCTATACTCAGACTTCAAGGTCTGTTTTCCCTGCAAAATATAGCACTATTTTCTACACTTAATTCTTACAGTTTCTAGCTGCTGTCTATTTTATCCTAGTAAACACGGTCTCCTTTGCACTTATTGTGCATGGATTTATGAAGTTACTCAGTTAAGAAAGAAGTAAAATCGAAAATCTGTATTTATTTTATTTATTTGCGACGGAGTCTTGCTCTGTTGCCCAGGCTGCAGTGCAGTGGCAAGATCTTGGCTCATGGCAAGCTCCGCCTCCAGGGTTCACGCCATTCTCCTGCCTCAGGCTCCCAAGTAGCTGGGAATACAGGCGCCTGCCACCACGCCCTGCTAATTTTTTTGTATTTTTAGTAGAGATGGGGTTTCACCATGTTAGCCAGGCTGGTCTCTATCTCCTGACCTTGTGATCCCCACCCACCGCCGCCTCCCAAAGTTCTGGGGTTACAGGCGTGAGCCACTGCGCCTGGCCAAAAATCTGTACTTTAAACACAGATATCTCCATTGTCTCTTCCTGCTTTTCCATTTGGTCTCCTGGGGTTTTTCTATGCTTGCATATTTTTACAGCCAGACGGGGATTTGAGTAGAGCTTATACCCTCATTTTGAACTTCACAACTTCTGTGATCATGTTATTTCTAAGACTTTCTATTAAATTTATAATTTTTTTTCCCCAGGCTGGAACCTATCCTCTGCTACCCCAAGCTCATAATGGTGTGGTTTTTCACAACCATAGTCACAGGGATTGTGGAATACCCTCAGGCAAGACGTATACAACTTTATTATTCTTATTCATTACAGTTGCAGTTTTTCAAGTAACCATTCCTCCACATTTTTTTCCTACTTCTAACATTTTTAGTCAATTGTTCATATTTCAGCAATGTTTTCTCATTGTTGTCTGCAGGAGATTTTCCATGTCTACTCTGGTGCCATTACTGGAAGATCCTTCCATTTTCTACAAGGGATTTTTACCTATATTGTTGAGGTATGTGTATATACACGTGTGTGTGTATGTGGGTTGAGGGCAGTATTTGAGAAGATTAAGTTAAAGTATGTGTCATGGGAATTATCTTTAAAATTTCTTTATAAATAAGTTTATATGAAAAATCTTTGGGATTCTGGGTCTTGATAGTTATAGACAAGTTTTGAAACTCAAAATCCCTACTTTTTCTCAAATAATAGGTTTTCAATATTTTGACTCTGGTCAAAATTTTTAAAAGTTTTTGAAAATTTGTTGATGTAATTACTTTCTATAGTTTCTACTGTATTCATCGTTTTGGCAAATGAATGTCCTCTGAGGCAATAAAGGTTGTCTCTAAAACAAAACGAAGATCACTATTGCAAAACAAAACAAAACAAAAAAGCGAGGAGATAGTTAATATTGCCAAGTTATGTTCTGCCACGGGTAGCATTCATATTATCATACTTATATAACTTAGGCAACTAACAACATTCTGCCATATTCGTGGGCATTAAACTATATTTTTGGAGACACTTACATAATTATTTCTCTTTTATGCTGTCTCGGATGGTGTTTCCAGAAGTGGAATCCCCTTTGGTAGCTCTGTACCTTCAGCTTCTCCCTCTGTGGTATCCATTCCCTGCCACAACTATAGAATCTGCAATCTGGTAAGCCACCACTTTTCTATGTCCCTTCAGCCAGAGGTAGATAGGAGCTTCTTGCTCCTAATAATTCGTAATATTCCTTGCAGTCTATTCTTTAGTGTGTCAGCTATCCCATCACCGTTTTAACCAGTTTATTTTTTTTGTCAAATTTTATTTTATTCAGGAGTACATGTGCAGGTTTGTTACACAGGCAAACTTGTGTTATGGGAGTTTGTTGTACAGTTTATTTCATCACCCAGGTATTAAGCCTAGTACTCATTGGTTATTTTTCCTAATTCTCTCCCTCCTCCCAGCTTCCATCCTCCAATAGGCCCCAGTGTGTGTTGTTCCCCTGTATGTGTCCATGTGTTCGAATCATTCAGCTCCCACTTATAAGTGAGAACATATGGTGTTTGATTTTCTGTTTCTGCTTTAGTTTGCTAAAGATAATGGCTTCCAGCTCCATCCATGTTCCTTCAAAGGACATGATCTCGTTCTTTTTAAGGGCTGCTTTGTGGGCTTATCTAACTTCCATCTTTGAGGTTGCTGACCTTTGGATTTTTTTTTTCTTTTATCCTCTTTTATGACCTTGAGGGTTTGATTGTGGTATGTGGTGGATTCAGCCAACTGGCTTCCTTTCTGGGAGATTTTAGAGGGCCGATGCTCAGCTTCCAATCCTGGACTGTGTGCTCTAGCTCTGGGGTACCTGTATTGGGTTCTGACTTTGTTCTCTGACTCCTTGAAATTTGGAGTCCACTGCGTTGGGGTTTGGCAGGGAATGGGGGGCGCGAGGTGTGGCAGCTGCCCCAGAGTGCTAGCAGATGCAGGGGTGCCTGTCTCCCTGCGGGTATTCACCACAGTGGTGGAGGTAAGGCAGCTTCGGAGGAAGTGGGGGACCTCTGCTGGAGACTGTGTGCAGTGTTGCACTGGAGATAGTGTTGGCTTGGGGTGGGGTGCTGGCTGGGGCTGATCTGCGTGTCTTCTCTATGCTCCACAAACAGGAGTCATGGCTCAGGGTGTGGGAGGATCCCCTGTGCTCTGCTTAACGTTAGTGCAAAGACAGAGCACGGGTGAGGGCAGGGCTCGCTGGCTCTGTGCCCCCCAGGGATCCTTCTGCAATGGTGGGGATGTGGGTGCGGTTGGGGTTTGGGGGGTATATTGCACTCCTGCATGCCAGCTGAGCAAGTAAAGCAAAACCCACCCATGCAGACATGAGCCAGCAAAGTGATGTGGGGGCCTTCCATGGGCTCGAGGGGAGGAAGTGTGTGGGCTGATGTGAGGCCACAGAGACTGCTTTGCAAGAGCTCTCCACCAGACCAGTGCAGAAGCTATGGTGTGGGTCCCCAGGGTACCTGAGACTGCTCTGTAAGCAGGCCTGGCCAAGCTGGGACCCAGGAGAGGACAGCAGACCAAGGAGCGCTCAGAATGGATCAGCCTGTCTGACGTGCAAGACCACCTTGCAGAGATCAGGTCAAACAGTTCCCCTAGAGCTAAAGTCTCTTATGATATAGCAAGAGGAACCTAGAGGGATGCCCATCCCTGACCATGCTCCACTACAGGCGCTCCCACACCAAACCTTCTGGGCTCCACATCAGCTGGTTTGCTGTCCCACCACTTCTCTAAGCAGCTATCCCTGCCAACTCAAGTGCCCCTGGTGGTTGAGGGGTCCCTTCCTTCCAGGATTCCAGAGGCCCAAGGCAAGTGCAGGTTGCTTCTTGCCAGTTCAACTTACCCATTGCCCTAAAGCTCTTGTGGTTCAGAAATGAGTCCTGGTGTGCTGGTAGCCTGTGCTGGGTTCCCAGATTTTTCCCACTTCAGCCCTCTTCTGTGTCTTCTCTCCATCCACTCTTGGCACCTTCCCTCTGAAGGTCTTTTAAAAGTATACCAGGCCGGGCATGGTGGCTCAGGCCTGTAATCCCAACACTGGGAGGCTGACGTGGGTGGATCGCCTGAGGTCAGGAGTTCAAGGCCAGCCTAGCCAACATGGTAAAACCCCGTCTCTACTAAAAATACAAAAATTAGCTGGGTGTGGTGGCAGGCGCCTGTAATCCCAGTTACTTGGGAGGCTGAGGCAGGAGAATCGCTGGAACCCGGGAGGTGGAGGTTGCAGTGAGCCGAGATCATGCCATTGCACTCTGGCCTGGGTGACAAAAATGAAACTCCATCTCAAAATAAATAAACAAATGCACACCAGTCATCTCAGTCCCTCAGTGGGAACCGTTCCACTTGTCTGCCTCCAGTCGGCCATCTTACCCTCGATTCCTAACCAATTTCTTATTTCAATTTTCTCTAAACACAGTGGTTTATGTTTTCCTGACAGAACACTGAAAGGCATTGCCCATAAACAGTTGAACTGCTCCATTGGAATGAGCAGAAAGGTGTGGAATATAAATAAACAAAATAATTAACATGGGAGTAATTTAACATACAACTGATTATTTAGTAAGAAATAAAATAATTTAGTAATAAATTGAACAAAAGAATTGCTATGGGAGAATATAACACATAACTGATTCCAAGAGATGATGGCCTTTCAATGAACTACAGAAAGCAGCACAAGGAGCAGCGAGCAAGCCAACCAAGTTTTCTATTCTGTCTGGCTTGTCTACATTTTTATAGACAGTGTTCACAATCTTCCTCTCTTTTGACTCTCCTCAATTATGATAGGTTCATGGTATTTTTTCAAAATAAATGTGACTAAACTTTGTTAATTGAAAAGTACATTATTTTAATTTGCAATTGGTTTCCATTATTGTGGTATTCCTGTGTTCTGAATGTGGAATTGTATAGACAGGTTTACCTACTGCTTAATCCATAATATAGCAATCCTGTTGACAAATTGCCATCTTTCACTCTTCAGTAGTGCTTCCATGAGCTTTCTGCAACCTGCTAATACTTTGTTGTTCAAGTTAATATTGAGCACTTTTGGTGACCATCCACAATAGTTAGGGATGGGTAGAGTGGCTCCGCTATGGGAATCCATTACAATTCCCATTGTGGAGCCACTTTACACATCCCTAACTATTGTGTTGGATAACAAAGGCAAAGAGTTACACTCTTCTTCGAGTAACTGTCTTAATTTATGAATTTTCCTGTCCCAAGATATCTGAGAGTGACCAAAAGAAGAGAATAAATGTCCAGCCTCCTTGTCACAAGGCAGGACAACATTATGTTGTTCCTTAGGCTCCAGAGCTCCCATGAATCTTGCTGAGGGTAAGCACAACCTAATCCCACATCCATGCTTAGTTTCTCCCTTGTTTTATCCTACTTTCTTCACTTATTTTATAGGTTATTCCTAAAAAGCATTCTTCCAGTAAATCATTGTGTAACAACCCCAATTTCAAGCTCTGATTCTAGGGAACTCTCTCTAAGTCAGGGTGAAATGCTGTCATGTGTATAGCCAGGCATTACTGCTTATATCACACATGACACAAACAGATTTCTTTCATAAGATGTTGGAACACTTGCCCTGATTATAATACTTTATAAAACATGTCCTTATCTATTTAAAAAAAACTAGAAATATATAGATGGGATATGAAATCTGTGTATCTGTCTTCAGGAAATTTCAATTTCCAGATAGAGATAACAATACTTCCATTACAAATTTTTATGACAATGGAATGGGATACTACTAGCGATGTTAAGTAGGAAACTGCTCAGTACACAGTAGGTTTTAAATGAATGTTTAAAAATATATATTATAACATTAGAGACAGTTTTCCAGTATATCATACTACTTTTCAATTTGAAAGAAGTGTAGATATAGTAGAGTCTATAAAAAAAAACCCTTTTTTATATACTAAGAATGATTAGGGGAAAAAAGGTCATTGTTTTGAAGGTAAAAGAATATCTCCAAATTATTTTGAGCATGATTAAAACTCTATAGAAAACTGAACTTAGAATAAACAATCTCAGAGCCATATTACCCATATGGTATAATGAAATGTCCCAGCAATCTTTCCCCTACAAAAAGACAGATTTAGCAACAATATTAGCAACAAAATATTTATGAGATGTGCAGACTCCTGTTAAAAAGTTATAATACCCCAGATGACTATAAAATTGAGATGATAAACTGCACTGATAAAGGCAAGAAGAGCAGTTTCACTTTGCTTGCATCAATTCTTTCCCCAAGTTTTGACAGCCCATCCCCAAGAGAAATTGCAACTTCTGTAGGGTACAGGGGAAGAGGAAGTGGGGCAAATGTCCAATGTCTATGGCCTTTCACTGTACTATATGAGGGGCTGGCTTCTGCCCTGACTCATACAGAGAACTGAAAAAACCAGCAGAGTTTGAATGCCTGGCATAGCTGCAGCCAGTATGGGTCTGTAAGATAGGACAAAGATGCATAACTGAGGCTTCTTTCCCAGCAGGGAGGTGATAGGCAGAGTATGCTCCCAGTATCTCAGGAGTTTCAGTGCATTGTCAAAGGGCTGGTTTTTATCTTACCTGACATGGAGTGCTGATGGAACAAACATAGCTAGACACTAAAGACAGCATAACATTACAGACTCTTGTGCGGATGGGGAACAGGGAACTGAATGCCTGGGGTGGCTAGGAATAAAGGCCCAGCATCTGTAGCCATGTTGACAGATGAAGGTTTTTCCCAGTCAAAATTAGTTCTTAAAGACTAGAAAGGAGGCTATTTCTGCAAAGGCTCAATTACCAAAACAAGGCTATAAGGAACAAGAATGAGAAAATCAAAATACAATAAAAAGTACAAAATATATTTTCATTAAATGACCCAAAAGAAATGAAGAACATGAATTACCTGACAAATAATTTTTTAAAAGTCTTAAAGAAACTCAGTGAATTATAAGAGAACACAGAAAGACAAGTAAATAAAATCAAGAAAATAATACATGAATAAAACAACTAATACTAACAAAGAAATAGAAATAATAAAGAAGAACCAAACAGGAATTTTCGAGCTGAAGGATATAACTAAACTAAAACATTACTGGAGGAATTTAACTTCAAACTTGATTAAGCAGAAAAAAGAATCAGTGAACTTGAAGACAGATTATTTGAAAATATCATCAGAGGAGGAAAAAGAAAAAAAAAGATAGACTGAAGAAAGTTTAAGAGAATTGTGAGACACCATCAATTATAAAAAATAAGAGATGCCTTAGGGGGAAAAAGGGAAAGTGAAAGAAAGCTTATATGAAGAAATAATGGTTAAAAACTTCCCAAATCTGGAAAAAAAAATAGTCATTCATTTCCATAAAACTTAAAAGACCTCAAAAAGAAAGAAATCTAGGAAGTTTACACCATAACACATTAAAATCAAATTGTCAAAAACCAGAGAGTTTTAAAAACAAGACAAAAGTGACTTACTATGTACAAAGGAGTCTCCATAAGACTATGAGTGGATTTCTCAGCACTCAACAATATGTATATTTACAAAAGAAGGAAGTGAAATGATACACTCAAAGTGCTAAAAGAAAAAAAAATAGCAACCATAAATTCTATACCTGAAAATGTTGTCCTTCATAAATAAAAGAAAGATAAAGACTTACCCAGGCAAACAAAAGCTGAGGGAGTTCACCACCACTAGACCTGCTACTATGATCTAAGCTACATAGTTTAGACATAGTTTATGTCTAAACTACAAAACAGAAAATAATTGACAAAATGGAAATAGTAAGTCATTACCTATAAATAATTACTTTAAATGTACATGGAGTAGATTTCCCAAACAAAAACACTTAGACTAGCAGAATAACTTTAAAAACCAAAGAGAATAGGAGTGACTATATTTATATTAGAAAAAATGGACTTTAAGTAAAAAACTTTCACAAGAGAGAAAGAAGGTCATTAATTATGTAATGATGAAGATACAATTCAGCAGGAAAATATGAAAACTATGAATACATATATTCCCAACATCAGAGCACCTACATATGTAAACCAAACATTGGCAGGTCTGAAGGGAGAAATAGCTAGCAATATGATAGCAGTAATAGATTTCACCAAAGGACAGAAAATCCTGACAAAAAATTAATAAGGAAACATCAGACTTGAACAAAACTGTCGATCAAAGGGACCCAACAGAGATATAGAGAACATTCCACCCAACGGCACTGGAATAAAACTTCTTCACAAGTGTACATGAAACATTCTTCAGGATAGATCACAGGTTAGGTCACAAAACAAGTCTTAACAATTTGAAAAAGATTGATATTATATCAAATATCTTTTCTTACCAAATGAATGAAACTAGAAATTAAGAACAGATGGAAAACAGGAAAAGTTACAACATATGCAAATTTAAAAACACTACTAAATACCCAGTGAGTCAAGTAAAAAAATAAAAAAGGAAATTAGGAAATCATTCAAGACAACCAGAAACAAAAACACAGCATACCAAAACTTATGCCATGCAGCAAAAACATTGGTAAGCAGAAAGTTTATAGCAATAAACACCTCTATTAAAAAAGGAAGATTTTAAATGAACAACCTGATTTTATACTTCAAGTAACTAGAAAAAGAAGAATAAACTAAGGCCAAAGTAGAAAGAAGAAAATAATAGTAATTGGAGCAAAAATAAACAAAATACAATATAGAAAAAAGACAAAATAAATCAACAAAATTAAGAATTGGTTTTCTGAAACAGTCAACAAAATTGATACACTCTTAGCTAGACTAAAAATAAGAGAGTAGACTGGCTATTATATAAATGTTTCTCTGAGGGTTCATGTGTTGGAAACTTAATCACCAATGCAACAGTATTGAGAAGTGTATTAGTCCATTTTCACACTTCTAATAAAGACATACTCAAGAATGGACGATTTACAAAAGAAAGAGGGGTTTAATGGACTTACAATTCCATGTGGCTGCGGGGCCTCACAATCATGGCGGAAGGCAAGGAGGAGCAAGTCACTTACTACATGGATGGCAGCAGGCAAAGAGAGAGCTTGTGCAGGGAAACTCCTCTTTATAAAACCTTCAGATCTTGTGAGACTTATTCACTATCAAGAGAAAAGCACCAGAAAGACCCACCCCCACAATTCAGTTAGCTCCCACTGGGTCCCTCCCATGACATGTTGGACTTGTGAGAGTTACAATTGAAGATGAGAGTTGGATGGGGACACAACCAAACCGTGTCAAGAGGTAAGATCTTGAAGAGGTGATTAGGCCATGAGGGCCTTACCCTCATGAATGAATTAGTGCTGTTACCATGGGAGTGGGTTAGTTATTGCAGGAGTGGTACCCTTACACAGGATGAGTTTGACTCCATCCCTCTTGCTCTCTTGTGTGCTCTCTTACCTTTCTGTTTTCCACAACAATACAATGCAGCAAGAAGGCCCTCACCAGGTTCAAGCCCTTCAACCTTGGATTTCTCAGCTACAGAACTGTACGAAATACATTCATTTTCTTTATAAATTATCCAGTCTCTGGTATGCTATTATAGCAACACAAAACAGACTAAGATAAAACTCAAATAAATAAAATCATAAATGACAAAGACATTACAACTGGTGCCATGAAATAAAAGGGATTACAAGAGACTATTATGAATTATCATATACCAACAAATTGGATAACCTAGAAGAAATTTTTAAATTCATAAAAATATACAACCTATCAAGACTGAATCTTGAAGCAATAGAAACCTGAATCAACCAATAAGAAATAAGTAGTTTGAATCAGTAATAAAAAAACCTCCCAGTGAAGAAAAGCCCTGGCCCAAATGGCTTCACTGATGAATTCTAACAAACATTTAAAGAAAACTTAGGACCAATTCTTTCTGAATACTTCAAAAATGGAGAAGAGGAAATACTTCTGAGCTCATTTTATGAGGCCAGAATTACCCTAAAACCAAGCCAGACAAAGACACTACAAGAAAAGAATACTACAGGGAAATAAACCTGATAAACATAGATGCAAAAATCTTCAACAAAATACTAGCAAACTGAATCCAACAGCATATTAAAAGGATCATACACCATGAGCAGGTGGGATTTATTTTTAGGATGCAAGTTTCAACATGCAAAAATCAATTAATGTGATACACCACACTAATAAACTGAAGGATAAATATTACATTATTATCTCAATAAATGCAGGAAAAGCATTTGATATAATTCAACACCCTTTTATAATTTAATATGGAAGAAAAAAAACACAGCAAAACAGAAAAACCTTTCAGCAAACTAGATACATAAAGAATATACCTCAACACCATAATGGCCATCTATGAAAAGACATAGCTAATATCATGCTCTATAGTTTAAAAAACAGAGAGAAAGAGCTTTTGCTCTAAGAATTAGAACAAAGAAGCCCATTCTTGCCACTTTTATTTAATATAGTATTGAAGTCCTAGCCAGAGGAATTAGGCATTTTAAAAAGGCATGCAAATTAGAATGGAAGAAGTAAAATTACCTTTGTTTACAGATGACACAATCTTATATGTAGAAAATCCCAAAGACTATGTGTAAAATAAATCTAAAAATGAATACAGTGAAATTACATGATAAAATATTAACCATAAAAAGGAGTTGCATTTCTACACTCTAACGAAACTATCCAAAGAGTAATTTAAAAAACAATACCATCTGTAATAGCATCAAAAATAATAAAATACTGGGAATAAACTCAACAAAGGAAGTAAAAGACTCATTTATTAAAAACTACAAATTGTCAAATAAAGAAATTAAGACACAAATAAGTGAAAATATTTTATGCTCATAGATTGGAATACATGCTGGTGTTAAAATGTCCATCCTACTTAAAGATATCTACAAACCATAAGTGAGGCATATCAACAACTCAATGGTAGGTTGTTTTTTTTTTTAAGAAATAGAAAAAAATGTTAAAATGTATATGGAACCACAAAAGCCTCTAAATAGCCAATGAAATTTTGAAAAAGAACAAAGCTGGAGACATCATAGTTATTGTTTTCAAAGATATTGCAAAGCTATAGTAATTAAAACAGTATGGCTGGGTGCAGTGGCTCATGCCTATAATCCTAGCACTTTGGGAGGCTGAGGTGGGAGGATAACCTTAGGTCGGGAGTTCGAGACCAGTCTGACCAACATGGAGAAATCCTGTCTCTACTAAAAATACAAAACCCAGGCATGGTGGCACATGCCTGTACTCCCAGCTACTCAAGAGGCTGAGGCAGAAAAATCACTCGAACCCAGGAGGCAGAGGTTGTAGTGAGCCAAGATCGTGCCATTGCACTCCAGCCTGGGTAACAAGAGTGAAACTCCATCTCAAAAAACAAACAAAAACAAACAAAAAAAAAATATGAGACTAACATTAAAACAGACTTACAAACCATGGAACAGAGTAGGGATCCCAAAAATAAACTCAAACATAGATGGTTAAGGTATTTGACAAGGGTGCCAAGAATACACAATGAGAAAATGACAGTCTCTTCAACAAGTATGGTTGAGAAATTAAATTTCCACATGCAAGAGAATGAAATTGCAACTTTATTTTACACCACAGAGAAAAGTCAACTTAAAATGGGTTGAAGATTTTAACATAAGACCTGAAACTGTAGAACTCCTAGAAGAAACGTATGGGAAAAGTCTCATGGCATTGGGCTTGCTAATAATTTCTTAGATATGACACCAAAAGCACAATGAACAAAAGCAATATTACATAAATGGGACTACAGCAAACTAAAAGGCTTCTGCACAGCAAAGAAAACAATCAACAGAGTGAAGAGACAATGAACAGAATAGGAGAAAATATTGGCAAACCAGATATCTGATAAAAGGTTAATATTCAACATATGTAAGGAACTCATACCACTAAAAGACAAACAAAACCAAACAATCCAACTAAAAATGGGCAAAGAATCTAATTAGACATTTTCTTCTTCCAAAGAAGACATACAAATGCCCAGCAAGTATATGAAAAAAAATGTTCAACATTGCTAATTGTCACAGAAATACAAATCAAAATCACAATGAAATATCACCTCCACCTCTTGGAAAGACTATTTTTAAGGAGAAAGAGAGAGAGAGAGACAGAGAGTTGAGAGAGGAAATATAACAAGTGTTAGTGAAAGTGGGAAAAAAAGAGAACATTTGTATACTGTTGATGGAAATATAAATTGGTGCAGCCATTATGGAAAATGGTATGAACTTTCCTCAAAAAATTTAAAAATAGAACTACCATATGACCCAACAAGCCCACTTTTATGTATATTTCCAAAATAATTGAAATCAGGATCTTGAAGTTATCTGCACTCCTATGCTCATTGCAGGACTATTCACAATAGCCAAGATTTGGAAACAACCTAATTGTCCATTAATAGATGAATGCATAAAGAAAGTGTGGCATGTACATACAATGAAATATTATTCAGACTTAAAAAAGGGGGAAATCCTGACATTTGCAACAACATGAGCGAATCTGGAAGATATTATGCTAAGTGAAATAAACACAAGAGCAAATACTACATAATTCCACTTACTTGAGGTATCTAAAATAGTCAAACTCAGAAACAGAGTAGATTGATGGTTTTCAGGGGCTGAAGAAAAAGGTAATGGAGAGTGGCTGGCCAACAGGTATAACATTTCAACTATGCAAGATGATTTCTAGAAATATGCTGTACAACGTTGTTCCTATAGTTAACCTTGGAAAAAATTAAGACTTTGTTTTCTCATACAGGAAAAAATGACATAACCACTAAAAAGTAAGTAAAGTTATTTTAACAAGCAATATTTTATCAAGAAACTTGAAGCTTAGTCTAAAGACAAACATAACTAGCTAATAAAGATAATATTCTGCCAACACATATGATTAAGCTAAAAACAAGCTTAGAATAACGTTTGTGGTGATTTGCATTATTGTAATTAGAATACATGTTGTTGCTTCTCTTTCGGTAGCTGCTTAAATTTCTATGTTGAATAGTTGTAATCCTGTTAAATTATATTGTTGCATATATCTCATTAAATAGTTTTTAATTAGTTTTCATTTGGAAAAAGAATATTATGATGCTCAATGATAGAAACTGTCAAAATAATATTAATGAAGCATACACTTCATTTGTACTCATATGGGATATTAAAATTATCTGTTAATTTGTAGATAGTGATTTTTCCCCAATTTTACTTTTTACTTATTTTGTACAAAGTTGTACCTACATTGGTAGTAATTATGACAGATCAATTGTAAATTTATTTTGCGTATTTATTACATTTTTTAAAATGGATATTTCTTTCAATTGTAGTGTTTTTTCAGAGTTACAAAAATATGTCAGCAACTCTACCATATTCTACAAATTTTCTATTAGCTGGGAAGTGTTTATATCATGTACATTATAAAAAATAATAACCTAATAATCTTTTTAACTTAGGAATGACTGCTAAAGATCAGGACAAGACTTTGACCAGTGGAAGTCAGGAACAGCAAATAAACATTTTCCTCATCTCTTCCCACCATACTAACTGTCCTGAGATGCAAAAGTCCATAAGGTCTCTCCTAAGACTGTCCCACAAAATGTAGCAATTAGTTATTCTTGCTGTCAAGCAGTGCTCAGCTCATATTATACCTTATATTTTCTCTTCCTCATTCTCTGTATCACTCATCTTTTCTGTCATTTCTAGTTCCCTGTATTTTATTCCACAATATATTAGTAGCAAATAAACTTTTGTGCTTTCTGAGAAAACGGGCTAATTGAGTTGGTACCAGGATTTGATTTAGAAAGCAGAGCCTCAAGATGGGATTTGGGGATTTGGTTATTTATCATTCTGTTGCAAGTGGGAGCCCATTGCTAAAGATAAGTGGCTTAGTGATAATACCCAGCATCACAGTCATAGAAATTTGTACCTGTGAGAAAGTATACACCAGGAGATATATGTGGAAAATTAAATATTGGGATATAAAGTAACTGGAATATAAAGTGTTGAGGTATATTGGATTGGTAATGCTCAGAAGGTATGGTGACAGTGATAATATTAATAACTGTAGAATAGGCTGGCTTTCATTGACAACTTTGAAGTTTTGGGAAAAAAATATGGATTCAAGACAGCTGACTGCGAAACTAGGTCATGCTGTGAAAGCTAGTGATTCTATATGGCAGGGTTTAAGAAAGGATTAATCTCCCACAATAAGGAGCAAACCAGACTGAAAAGCAGACCCAAATTCTCATTATGAGATAGGTTCAACTCCTTATTACCTTCTTTTGTTGCACCAATTCCTTTCTCTTAAATCAGACCTTAACATTGAGAGGAGTTCCCTCAAACCCGGTGATGGTGTAGCAAAGTATTCAGCCCTAATTCACAGAGGGTGGCTTCATCATATGTTATTGCTACCCTAATATAGACTGCTGTTAAATCACAATTCTACTAAGTGGTAGTTATAAAGTAGAACGGTGAAGCAAAATCTTCTAAGTGTGTCTTACCTTTGTGTGAAAAGAGATACGGTCTAAAGCACGGATATCCATTATCCGCTTACAGTGGCAAATAGTTTGGCTAGTGGATAAGAAGCCTAGAGGAAAGAAGACTGAAAGGTCAGGAAGAAGCAAGTCTGGAGAAGAGACACATGGGTGAGCCTATTAAAAGGACACAAAGGGCCCGGCGTGGTGGCTCACGCCTGTAATCTCAGCACTTTGAGAGGCCAAGGTAGATGGATCACGAGGTCAGGAGTTTGAGACCAGCCTGACCAACATGGTGAAACCCTGCCTCTACTGAAAATACAAAAATTAGCCAGCCATGGTGACGTGTGCCTGTACTCCCAGCTACTCAGGCGGCTGAGGCAGGAGAATCGCTTGAAGCCAGGAGGCGGAGGTTGCAGTGAGCCGAGATCGCGACATTGCACTCCAGCCTGGGTGAGCAAGACTCCGTCTCAAAAAACAAAACAAAACAAACAAACAAAAAAGAAAGGACACAAAGCCTGAAGCTTTTTATGTCTCAAATTAATGCTCACCAGATGGGCAATCACCACAGGAGATGGTGTCAATAACAGGGGTCTATCCAGTGTCCACTGAATGGGTTTATAAATTTAGTTGTCTTAGTGCAAGGGATAGAGACTATTTATGGGCCCGAAAGCTCCTTTCAATCAACATTATTCTAGCTTTTGCCCCTGATAAATGTCTAATCTGCCAGATTGTCTCTACAGTCTTAGCCCTGTATATGAAGCTATCCCATGAGAAGACAAATCAGTCCTTTTGATGGCAGATCGTGACATCACATATCTATCCCTACCACATTGGATGGGATAGACGTTTGTTCTCCCTAGAGTTAACACACATTATGTATATATATACCTATCCTATTTGCAGTTATTCAACCAGCACAACAATCTGAGGTATTAAAAAATACCTAATATATTGACCGCATTTGCTGCACATTACCTGAGAAGAAGATTTATTAAACAGCATGTGAAAAAATGGTTGTATAACTAAATAATCCATTAAACTCAGCATATATCCAGAAGCAACTGGCCTTATAGCATGATAGAAAGTCAACTAAATCTTCAATGTAGGAACAACATGGTCGGGGAGAGGGGCATTGTGCTCCAGGCTGAGGTCCATGTAACAAACCAAAGGCCAGTATGTAATACAAATTTAGAATACATATGTGGAGGGTGAAGGGGTGTAAGTGGGAATGACCCATCTCACAGCAGTTACTCTCAGTGAATCTTTTTCAGAATTTATGTTTTCTGTATACTAAAACTTTAGATATAGGCAACTTCTGACCCATATATAGAACTTGTATCTGAGGGTTCTCTGGAGAAGCAATAGCATCTGTGTGTGTACGTGTGTGTGTGTGTGTGTGTGTGTGTGTGTGTGTGTGTGTATGATTTATCCTAAAAAATTTGCTTTTGTGATTATAGAGGCTAAGAAGTTCCATGATCTGCTCTCTGCAAGCTGGATACCTGCCTGGCCTGGTAGGCCATAAAGCCAATGATATAAATTCCAGTTCAAGCCTGAAGGCATGACAACAAGGAGCACTGAAGGCAGGAGGAGATTGATGTGCTGACTCAAACAGCCAGGAAGAACATGAATTCAACCTTCCTCTGCCTTTTGGTTCCAGTCCAGCTCTCAGTGGTTTGAGTAATGCTCACCCAGGTTGGGGAGGGCCATCTGTTTTACTAGGTCGACTAATTTAAATTTTAATCTCATCCAGAAACAACCTCACAGGCACACCCAGAAATGACGTTTATCCAGCACTCTGGGTATCCAGTGGCCCAGTCAAGTTGACACATAAAAATAACCATCACAGATTGGAAGTTGCCACACCGCCATCTTTACCAAAAGAAAAAAAAAAGCCCCCAGAATCTAACTTTTCCTGAACACTTTAGTGTACTGCAAAATTAGACAGATTAGTAAATCAAGAGCATTCAGATCCACCTACCTGTAATGAAGCCACTAAAGCCATAAACTAGCAGAAAGTTTTAAATGGTAATTTTGGTGAATTGCTGGAGGCTGAGAGTGGACCAGTTTGAGATTAAACACTCCTATGGGCGACAGTCTGAGGAGGTGCCTAGGAACCTTGTGGATTTTATTTCCAGTAACCTCATCAGATTCTTATGGTGAGGAGCTAAGAACTTTCCCCCTCCCTCTGTGACTCTGGCAGAGGGAGGGGTATAGTAACTCTTGTAAAATATACTGAGAAAATTTTTCATAACAAAAGACTATAAGGGAAAAGAATTTACTGGAGCCTTATCTCACATGGGGAAGGACATTATTCCCAATTTAGTACCATCTAGGCTTTAGTCTTCTTGTCTTATTCAGTGGGAGAAAGAAAAAGGAGAAATGCTATCTTAGTAGAGAAATAATTGTGAAGATCATGGCCTAGGGAAACAGACCCAGTAAATGTTTGAGATTTAATTGTAACTGTAAAGAAGGCCTCCCTTCCCTTACACCCTGTCACAACACCAGCGTGGCTCCAGCATAAAAACAATAGACTATAGGTAAAAGAGCAGCAAGACAAAGAATTTTTCTGAGGAGGAGAACTTAAAATAGCCCAGAGTCTAGAAGATAGACACAAACAAAGACACTAAAGGAATTTGAAGCCTCTTGCACCTAAGCTACTTTAAACAATAATTATACTCCAAGTCCTAGCAATAGCAAGAGTAACATAAAAACCTCTCATTGAAGTCTTCTTAGCTAACAAAAAAAAAAACAAAAATACAAAAAAAACCATGACTGACTGACATGGTTTGGCTCTGTGCCCCCACCCAAATCTCATCGGGAGTTTTAATGCCCATGTGTCGAGGGAGGAACTTGGTGGGAGGTGATTGGATCATGGGGGCAGTTTCCTCCATGCTGTTCTCATAATGGTGAGGAAGTTCTCACCAGATCTGCTGCTTTAAAAGTCGTTTAAAAAGAAAGTGGGAGCTCTCTCTCTCTCCTGCTGCCTTGCAAGACGTACCTTGCTTCCCCTTCACCTTCCACCATGACTGTAAGTTTCCTGAGGCCTTCTAAGCCATGCAGAATGGTGAGTCAATTAAACCTCTGTCCTTTATGAATTACCTAGTCAGGTAGTATCTTTATAACAGCGTGAAAATGGATTAATACATTGGCTTTCAACAAAAAATTAGAAGGCATGCTAAAAGGCAAGAAATACATAGCCTGAAGAGACAAAGGAAGCATCAGAACCAGACAGAGGTGTGATATCAATGTTGAAATTATCAGATGAAAAATTTAAAATAACTGAAACTGCCTTCGCCAAAAATATAACAGTGAGAAATTTACCATAACTGGCTCCATCTTGCTTCTAACCTCACAAGCTGCCTTTGCTCATTCCTGAACATAGGCCAAGTGAACTATTGGAGTAATATAGTTTACAGTTTAGCTTCAAAGCAAAGATAATTATAATCCCTTACCAAAACTTACTCCCTCCAGAGGTTGAAACTGCTTTTGTAGACCAATAAAATATCATCAGGATAAGATTAAGGGAGAGGCATGAATTCTGCTAAAATATAGGCATAGTTAAGTTATAACCTGCCATTGTTTTCTATCTTGCTTTTCTATAATCTCTTACTCCTCAGGAGTCAGGTAGCTGGAGTATACAAGATTTGTAACTCCCCGAATTGCTCCCATAAATAACATCAATATTGTAAAACCTAAGATTGATCTTTGGGATATTTTTCAGACTTTTGCATTCTGACGACTGACTGACTCCAGACTTATGACTCATACCAAGGAACTTACTCAACTGGCCCTGTGACTCCCATCCAGAAAATGACTCAGCAGAATGTTTTTGACACTTCTATTATTTCACCCCCCAGTGAAACAGCAGCACTCATTCCCTAGCTTCCTTCCAGACAAATTATCCTTAAAAAACCCAACCTCTGAGTTCCTGGTGAGGTGAATTTGAGAAATATCTCCCGTCATTCTGCTTGACTCCCTTGCAGTATACTCTTTCTTTACTGCAACACTACTGTCTCAGTGTATTGGCTTTATCTGTGCAGCAGGCATGTAGAACTTGTTGGGCTGTAACATAGCTATGAAAAATATATAAAAGGCTCTAATTGAAAAAGGAGACAACCTGCAAGAACAGAAGAGTAATTTAAGCAAAGCAATGGAAACCCAAAGTAAGAATCAAAAAGAAATGCTGAAAAAAAATACTGTTATGAAAATGAAAAATGTTTTTGATGTATTTATTAGTAGACTAGATATAACAAAGGTAAAAAAATTACAAAAATCAAAGACAGGTGAATAGAAAGTTTCCAAACTGAAATTCAATAATAATACTAATAATAATCATAATTTAAAGAATAAACCATACAGAGCATTTATTAGTAGACTAGATATAGCAAAGGAAAAAAAATTACGAAAATCAAAGACAGGTGAATAGAAAGTTTCCAAACTGAAATTCAATAATAATAATAATAATAATAACAACAATAATTTAAAGAATAAACCATACAGAGCATCCAAGAATTCTGAGACAAATTCCAAATTGTAACATGCATAATTGCAATGCTAGAAAGAATGGAGTAGAAAAAATATTTGAAGTAATGGTTTCTAAAAACTTTTCAAAATGGATAACCAAAATCAAGTCACAGATCCAGGAAGCTAAGAAAAACACCAAGAATGGTAAGTATTTCCTCCCCTCAAAAACCCAAAAAACAAAATTAAAAACTGAACCTACACATATATTAAACTTCAGGAAACCAAAGGTAGAAGGAAATACTGAAAATAGCCAGTGGGGACAGAGAGAGGTATGTATCACCTTTACAGGGAAAGAATAAACATTACATCAGACTTCTCATCATGAATTATGCAAGCAGAAAGAGGATAAAATATTAACAAAACATTTAAATTATTGCAAGAGAAAACAAAAACATCAAACTAGAGTTCCATATTCAAGCAAATTATACCAGAAGGAAAAATGAAGATGTTCTCAGAGAAAAAGTGCTTTGGCTAAAATCTCAGATCTACATAAATAAAGGAAGAAATTCAGAGAAGAAATAAGTGAAGGTAAAATAAAGTATTTTGTTTTATACTTAATTGATCCAAAAATAACTATTAAAATGCAATAACAGTAATAATATATTGTATAATTCTAGAATATAAATAAGATGAATAATTAGAATGTCATAAAAAAGGGAAGAATTGAAAATATTCTGTTGGTAGCAACGTTACAGGTAAAATAACGTTGTTATTTGAAGGTGGTCATAGATTAGTTTAAAACAGGGATGTCCAACCTTTTGACTTCCCTGGGCCACATTCGAAGAAGAATAATTGTCTTGGCCACACAAAAAATACAATAACACCAATGATAGCTGAAGAGCTAAAAAAAATTACAAAAATATCTCATGATGTTTTAAGAAAGTTTACACATTTGGGTTGGGCCTCATTCAAAGCTGTCCTGGGTTGTATGCAGCCAACAGGCCATGGCTTGGGCAAGCTTGGTTTATAATGTATATTGGAAACTCTCAAGATACTAGAAAAAATTTTAAAAATATAATATGTTAAAAGCAGACATAAATGAAATAACAAAACATGCCAAATTAAAACCAGAGAAGATATAAAAACAGGAAAGAGAAAAACAGAATAAGTGCAATAAATAAAAAAACATTACACATGTGGTAGGTTAACTTAAGTATTAATATATCAATAATCAATTTAAATGGTTAATATCTCAGTGCACCAAGAGAAAGAGACTGACAAAATAGACTTAACAAAAGAAAACAAACTATATGATGTCTACAAGAAACAAACTTTAAATATAAAGATTGAGATAAGCTAAAAGTAAATAAATGGAAATAGCTATATCAGGCTAGCACTAATCAAAAGAAAGCTGAAATGGTTATATCAATTTCAGACAAAGCAGGAACCAGAAAAATTTACTGGAATAACCAAGGCACTACATAATGATAAAAGGATCAATTCTCAAAGAAGACATAACAATCATAAATGTGTATGTACCTGACAACATGGCATCAAAATGTGTGAGGTGAAATCTGGTCAACTGAAGGAAGAAATAAATTCACTATTAGAATTGGAGACTTCAATGCCCCACATTCAGTATTTAATAGATAAAGTAGGCAGAAAATTAGTAAGAATATGGTTGACCTGAGAAGATCTACTAATGTATTTGAGATTTATAGAATAATTCATCTAGCAACAGGAGAATGCACATTCTTCTCAAGCTTTTGTGAAGGATTCCCCAAGATAGACCACATTGTAGGCCACAAAACACATGTCAACAAATTTATAAAAGAGAAATTTTTAAAAATTTGTTCTCAGGCCACAATTAATGTAAACTAGAAATCAAATAACAGAAAGATAACTGGAAATTCCACAAAATATTTGGAGACTGTTCATCAAACTTCTAAATAACACACAAGTTAAATATGTCCAGAGAAACTTAAAAATATAATATTTTGAACTACAGAAAAATGAAAATACAACTTATCAAGTTTTAGGATGCAATGAAAGCAGTGCATAGAGAAAAATGTATAGCATATATTAGAAAAGAATATCATATATATCTATATCTATATATATACAATCATTAGGTTGTACACTTTTTTTTTTTTGAGGCAGAGTCTTGCTCTATTACCCAGGCTGGAGTGCAGTGGCACAATCTCAGCTCAATGCAACCTTCGCCAGTCAGGCTGAAGCAATCCCCTGACCGTGGCCTCCCAAGTAGCTGAGACTACAGGCATGTGCCACCATTCCAGGCTAAGTTTTGTACTTTTTATAGGATGGGATTTCACCATGTTGCCCAGGCTGGACTCAAACTCCTGAACTCAGGTAATCCACCCACTTTGGCCTCCCAAAGTGCTGGGATTACAGGTATAAGCCACCAGGCCTGGCCCACTTTTTCAAAATATATAATCTTTATTTGTCAGTTAAATATTTAAAATATAAAAGTAGAGAGAAATTTCTAAAATTAATCATTTAAGCTTCTATGGTAGGAAATTAGAGGAAGAAGAGCAACTTAAACCTAAAGCATGCAGAAGAAAGAAAATAATAAAATTTAGAAATAAAACCACTGAAATAAAAAACAGGAAAGCAATAGAGATAATCAACACAACTAAAAGGTGGCACTTTGAATGATCAAAATTAATAAACTTCTTGTTAGGCTAACCAAGAAAGGATCCTCAATTATGATTATCAGAAATGAAGGAGGTTTCATTACTACTGATGCTACAGATGTTCAATGAAAAAGAAAAGAATACTAAGATCATCTCTATGCCCAGAAATTTTATAACTCAGATGAAGTAAATCAATTCTTTAAGAGACAGAAAATACTAAAATTCACATAAGGAAAAACAGATAATTGAGGTAGTTCTTGTCCTGGGTTGAACTGTGCCCCTCAAAGACATGTTAAAGCCCTAGACCCTGCTACCTGTGAATGTGACCTTATTTAAAAACAGAGATTTTGCAAATCTAATGAAGTTAAGATGAAGTCATTAGTGTAGTCCTTAATTCAATATAGCAGGCATTCTTATAAGAGGAGGGAAAACTGTCCACAACACACACAGAGAGGAGAAAGTTGTGTAAAAAAAGAGATGAGATGATAGCAATATAAAAATTATGTAGAGATTGGAGCTATGCTGTCACAAGCCATGGAAAACTCAGGGATACCAAAAACTGAAAGATATAGTGAAACATTCTCCTCTAGAAGCTTCAGAAAGACCACCACCTAGCCCATACCTTGATTTTAGAATCCTAGTCTCTAGAATTGTGAGATAATAAATTTCTGTTTCTTTAAACCCATGTAACTTTGTTACGTCACTCCTAGGAAACTAATACAGAAGCAAAGGCAATTCAATAGCTAAAAGATAGCCTTTGAACAAATAGTTCTAAAACAATTGGACATCCATATTTAAAAAAATATATATATATAAAGAGACACAGACCTTACACATTTAACAAATACCAACTCAAAATGAGTCATAGGTCTAAATGTGAAATGCAGAACTATAAAACTTCTAAAAGAGAACACAGAAAAATATCTCAGTTGTTTGGGGTTTGTTTGTCAATGAGTTGTTTTTTTTTTTTTTTTTCAAATCCAAAATCCACAATCCACTTTAAAAACAATATGTTGGGCTGGGTGCGGTGGCTCATACCTGTAATCCCAGCACTTTGGGAGGCTGAGGTGGGCAGATCATGAGTTCAGGAGATTGAGACCATCCTGGCTAACATGGTGAAACCCCATCTCTACTAAAAATACAAAAAATTAGCCGGGCATGGTGGCGGGCACCTGTAGTCCCAGCTACTGGGGAGGCTGAGACAGGCGAATGGCGTGAACTCGGGAGGCAGAGCTTGCAGTGAGCTGAGATCACGTCACTGCACTCCAGCCTGGGTGACAGAATGAGACTCCATCTCAAAAAAAACAAAAACAAAAACAAACCTGATATGTTGAACTTCATTAAAATTAAAAACTGTACTGTGAAAGATGCTATTAAGAAAATTAAAAGGTAAAGTATAGACTGGGATATAACATTTGCAAAACACATATGTGACAAAAGATCTGCATCTACCACATACAAATAACTTTCAGAACTCAAGAAATAAACAGTCCAATTGAAAAATGGGTAAAAATTAGAATAGGCACCTCTTTAAAGAAGATATGCAGGTAATACATAGATATATGAAAGATTGTCCAACATCATTTGTCATTAGGCAATTGGAAATTAGGACAAAAATATGATACCACCACATACCTATTAGAATTGATAGAATCTTAAAAAAATGTCAATTACAGTTGATGGGGAAAATGCAGAAGAACAAGAGCTATCATTTTTTGCTGATGGGAATGGAAAACATTATAGTCACTTTGAAAGGCAATTAGGCAGTTTCTTATAAAGCTGAACATAATCTTACCATATAAAACTGCAAGTGTGCTTCTGGGTATTTAGTGCAAGTGATTTGAAAGTGTATGCCAACGCAAAAACCTAATCATGAATATTTATAGCAGGTTTATTTATAATCCCCTAAAACCTGAAACAACCAAAATGTTCTTCAATAGGTAGGGATAAGAAATTGTGATTCATCCATCCAATGTAATATTATTCAGTGATTAAAAGAAGTTTGAAGCATCCAGCCACAAAAAAATGGATGGATGAATCTTAAATGCATATTGTTATATGAAAGAAATAAGTCAGAAGAGATTACACACTGTATGATTCCAATTATATAACATTCTGGAAAATGTAACAGTATAGAAGTGATAAAAAGATCAGTGATTGCCATGGGTTTGGGGGGAAGTGGGAGAGAGTTAAAAGGTGAAGCATGAGAGATTTTATTTGGCATTTCAACTATGGCATTATTTATGATACTGTATGTTGGGTACATGACACTACGCATTTTCTAAAACCCATAGTAATTTACAGCACAAAGAGTGAACCCTCATGTATGCAAATTTTAAAATATTCAAGAGGTTAGGGAATAATCCCAGGATTCAATGCAGAATGTGAGAAAACAGTCTAACTATATTATAAATGTATGAAAGAGCCTTAGTGAAGGGGCAAAAAGCTTCTAACCTAAGAAACTTCAACAATAAAGGAACTCTGTAAAAGTAAAATAAACTGTGCGTAAGCACTGTATCCTAATTGATAAAGTTGTTTCCCATAGTATGGGTTAACAGTTCTGATACCACTATACATATGTATTGGAATTGAACAATAAGAAAATAAATGTCAGACGCTTAAAATTAGTTTTCACACTCTTGGTATTGGTAGTTTACAGACAAATAAGAGAAGAGTCTAGAATGATCCATGCGGTAATAGAGTTGGAGATATCAACAGAAACTCATGCTTAACATAATATAGGTACAGATGGTTACATAAAGAAATAATTGTTGAATACTAGGGTTCTTTGATCTGTCAGCTCAGAGGATCTAGAAAGAGCAATATCCCAGTAATAATAAACACATCTGGCACCATATCTTGGTTTCTAATACCATTCTGTAATAGTAATAATAATAATAGTCCGGGCTCCTTAAATAAATGGTTGATTCTAGGACAGGGACAGAAAATATACAAAATGAGCACAGAGCAGCTTGTAGTCTCAGAGTGAGGAAGTACCCCAAAAAAATTAAACTAAAAATCCACAATAATGGGGATATGTCAAAGAGATAGAATCCAACTAAAAGAGCCACAGCTGGAACAATTTTTGCACAAAACATACAAATTTATACTGGAATGTAACTAGAAGTATAAAATCAAAATTCTTATCTATACTGAAATAATGATTGAATAAATAAATAAATGGAAAAAGAGACAAACCTCCCATGCAGAAGAATATCAAATGATCCATGTACATACTCGACCCTCAAGCAGGTGGAGCATTATCTCTGTAGCTCTTAAATGTAGATTGTATACAGTGTCTGTCTTCCAAAAAGTACAGTATGAGAAAGAGAGTAAAGAGTAACACCAGAGTGGAGAAACCTGACAGACACTACCTTAGCCAGTGATCAAGGTCAACATTCACAGGAATAAATCATGTTGAAAGCATATATCCTTGATGTGCTGCATTAAGAATGGTACTTTACATCTTAGTCCTCCTATCCTAAATATATAGCTCTAGTGTAATCATGATAAAAACCCCCAACCAACAGCCGTTGTAGGGCATTCTATAAAATGCCCAATCAACTCTCCACAAAGTTGTCAAGGTTATCAATAATAAAACATGTCTGAAAAATTGCCACAGTTGGCCTAAGAGCCAACTAAATGTAATGTGGTATCCTGGTTGAGCTCCTAGAACAACAACAAAAAATAGACATCTAAATAAAGTATGGGCTTTAATGATAATCAATTCAATCAATACTAGTTCATTGATGGTGACAAATACATTAAAGTAAGATGAAGGAGAACTTGAGTGTGTAATATATGGGGACTTTCAGTACTATTTTTGCAATTTTTCTGTAATTGCATTTGGAATTGGCTCAAATCTTATATTTGTCTTTTTCTCAATTCTTGCCCATTTTTTAAAGGATTAATCACATATATTTGCTGTCATTTTATTTTCTTCTATGAACTTGTTGGAAGCACATTATTTTACTATTCTCTCACTGGTCACCTTATACGTTGCCACATTCACCCATGATTTGTTATAATCTCATATAAACATTTACTTTAACCTGTATTTCTATATTGCTAGGATCTTAGAACCTTAACTCAATTTATAGGCCTCTCTGGTTGTTACATATAATCTCTATTTCTATATTGCTAGGACCTTAGAACCTTAACTCAATTTATAGCCCTCTCTGGTTGTTACATAATTGTCGTGCATATTGTTCATGTATATTTTTTAAGATATTACTTAAATTATTTTGCAAATCCAATATTGCTTTTATTCACATATTTATCAATTTTTGTACTCTATTCTTTTTTACAGTCTGTACTTTCATCTGGGATCATTTTCATTCAGCCTAAATAATTCCTTTAAATATTCTTATAATGCAGGTTTCCTGGTTTCTATTTCTGTCAGCTCTTGTTTATTGGACACAATTTTATTTCATCTGTATTATGAAGATTATTTTTTGCTGAGTATCAAATTCTAGGTTAGTAGTCCCCCATCCCCAGTAAAAAAACAAAAACAAGATAAAATTTTTCAGACTTTGATAATATTTTTGAAAAGGCAGTTACTTAACTAATTATTTCTTCATGAAGATAATGTAGCCTTTTAGTCAGTCTACTTTTAATCAGTATTCAACATTTTAAATTGGATGTGCTAAATGTGTATGTTTTGTTTTGTTAGCTTATCTCTTGGTGCTTCTAGATGTAATGAATCTGTAGGCTAATATCTTTCATAATTTTTGTGAAATTTCCATTTATTATCTTTTGAACAGTGATTTTGCCCCCTTTTCTCTCTTCTCTCATTCGAAGAGTTCCATATATTTACTTGCTAGAAATTTGGAGTTTATTTCACATGGATTTAGGCTATATTCTCTTTATTTTTCTGCTGTTATTTCTCTATTCTCTTCAATTTAGATATTATTTGTAGTCCTATCATTTGATTCACTAATCCTACAGTTGATTATATCTAATGTGCTGTCAAATCTATGCATTTACTTTTTAATTTTTTTATTGCATCTTCAATTCTGGAATGTCCATTTGATTCTTTACGTATTCCAATATTTTGTAAAAATTCTTTCTCTTGTCATCCACTTTGCCCATATTTTCCCCTAATTTCTCTATCATAGTAATCATTGCAAGTCCGTGTCTATTACTTCAACATCTGGATTAACTATGGATTTGCCTTTATTGCCTTGTTTTTCTTTTTATTCTTAGTTATGTTTTTGTACCTAAGGCTGCAAAACCGTGGAATAGAAGTGTATTAGTTTTCTAATGCTGCTGAACAAGTTACCCAAAATTTAGCAGCTTAACACCACAACACTTTCTATTGTACAATTCTATAGGTCTAAAATCTGGCAGTGTGTTCTGCTTCTCTCCTCACGACTGTGTCATAACAAAGTCAAGATGCTGCCTGGCCTGAGAATAATTCACTTTCAAGCTCATGGAAGTTATCAGCAGGATTCAGCTCTATGTGGTTGTGGACGAAGGTCTTCTTGCTGGCTGTTGACTGGGGTTGCTCTGAGCTCCCAGGCGACACCCATGTTCCCTGGCTCATGGTCCCCTTTCTCCATTCTCAAAGCCAGCAGTAGCGGAATGAGTCCTTCTCATAACTCAAATCTCTCAAACTGATCCTTCTGCCTCATGGTCCTAATGGTTTTTCCACAGCATCCCTCTGAGCTTTTGATCTTTTTGTGCTTTCAAGAAAGTGTTATAGAGTCACACCCCAGGCTTTTTTTTTTTAAGCACCCTTTCTAGGCTGAGTGTGGTTGCTCTTACACCCATAATTCTAGAACTTTGGGAGGCCAAGGCAGGAGGATCACTTGGGCCCAGGAATTTGAGACCAGCCTGGGCAACATAGCAAGACCCCATCACTACAAAAACTTTTTAAAACTACTTAACCAGGCATGGCAGTGCATGCCTGTAGCCCCAGATTCTTGGGAGGCTAAGATGGGAGTAGGATCACTTGAGCCTGGAAGGTCAAGCCTGCAGTGAGCTGTGATCATGCCACCTCATAGGGAAGGTAGTGAGGGCCTGGGTAAAAGAGCAAGGCCGCGTCACACACAAAAGAGGACCCTTTCTAGGCAGCAAATTTCTTAATTTTAGCATCTTTTGCTGTCCAGATAGGCTGATTTCTCAAATTATAAAGTCCTAGCTCCATTTTCTTTAACAGTTCCCTCAGTTTCTCTTCCTTCTCTGGCATCCTGCTATAAGCAGTAAGAAGGCAACAGGCTGTCTCTACAGCACTATGCTGCAAATCTCCTCAGCTGAAAATCCAAGTTCTGCTTCTTACATACATATAAGACACTCCTCCTCTGAACTCCTACAGGTATATAACAAGGATCCCCCTTTCTCTTGCTTCTAATAACATATTTTTCCTTTCCTTTTCAGCTCTCACCACAGCATTTTTGACATGTATATTTTTACTGATAGTCTATTCAAGGTGTTAAAGGCCTTTTCTACAGTGTTCCTGAAAGTTCTTCCTCAATGTCTAATTCCAAAGCCACCTCCATGTTTTTACGTATTTGTTACAGTGACATAGCACTCTTGGCATTAAAATCTGTATTATTTTCTGATTGCTGTCAAATAAATGAGCATATTGTTAGTGGTTTAAGATGATATCCATTTATCATCTCAGAGTTGCCTCAGTCATACATCCAGGCTTAGGGTGACTCAGCTGGTTCCCTCCTTTGGTTTTCACAAGGCCAAGATCAAGGTGTTTGCAGTGCCTTGTTCCTTTCTGGAGACTGAGAAAGTCTACTTCCAGACTCATCCAAGTTGGTGGCAGAGTTCAGCTTCTGGTGGTCCCCATTTCCTTCCCTTCTTTTTTTATTTGAGGTGGAGTCTCACTCTATCACCCAGGCTGGAGTGCAGTGTCTCAGTCTCGGCTCACTGCAACCTCTGCCTCCCAGGTTCAAGAGATTCTCTTGCCTCAGCTTCCCGAGTGGCCGGGATTACAGGCATGCACCACCATGCCCAGCTAATTTTTGTATTTTTAGTAGAGACACGTTTTCATCATGTGGGCCAGGCTAGTCTTGAACTCCTGACCTCAGGTGATCTACCGCCTTGGCCTTCCAAAGTGCTGGGATTACAGACGTGAGCCACTGCACCGGACCCGTCCGCATTTTCTCACTGGCTGTCAGCTGGGGGTTGTTTTCAGCTTTGAGAGACTTGAGAGGCCACCTGCATTCCTTGATGTGTGTCCCTCTTCCTTTATCTTCAAAACCAGCAGTAGGGGGTAGAGTGCTTCCATGTTTAGATCGAGTGCTTTCATGTTTAGAAAATGATCTCTCCTTCTGCCTCATCTCCCCCTGCTTTCTTCTTCCACCACATTTCTCTCAAGACTCCTCTGCATTTTTCTTCTGGTTTCACAGGCTCATCTGGATAATCCAGGATACTATCCCAACTTTAAGGTCAGTGTATGCTTAATTCCACATGTCAATCCCCTTCACCGCAGCACCTAAATTAGTGTTTGATTGAATAACCAGGGGAAGAGAATTCATGCCGAGGGGATCTTTGGAATCTGCCTACTGTGAAAAGTCCTTACCTTATCTTTCTAGCCTCCGTTGCAGCCACAGAATTCACCAAATGCCTTGTGAATAAAACAGAACAAATATTTGAGGTTGATCATGTTCCCTCCCCCACTTTTTTCAGTCCATTTGACCGTTAAATTTTTTGTGTTTTTCTTTCCCCCACCCTGGGGTTTTTCAGGGTCATGCCCAATTCTCAGCTTATGCACATGATTGGCAAATGTCCCTGGATAGGCAAACAGCTAGCAACAATTCACTCACAGCTCACCTAGGAAGGGTTCTCCTCTCTCTGGAATTGTAGTTTTGGCAGGCTTATGTGATTGATTTCATTTATTCTATAACTATCTGATGCTTTTAAAATTATATTAGTTCTGTAAGTTATCTGGCTTTTTCCTAAAGTTTGCAGAAAGCGGTGTTGTCCTACACAGAAATGCAATCCCTTTACTTCTGTTTAAGCTAACTAGAGCAGGTCTCTGAGCACTGACTAGTAAAATAAATTTAGGGGCACTATTAACCTAGTTCCAAAAGTTTTCCTTGCTATGTAACTTCTTCTTAGGTATTAAGGACACCTATTAATAATCCTTTTTTTATTACTAAAACCGTAATTAGTTTTAGTCCCATAGATTCTTCTTTTTTTATCTCTTACTTTTTACTGTTTCTATGCTAGTTCAGTACATATAGTACATATACACATGCACATATATATCTTCTAATTTAAATTTATATGTAAAAATCAAATTTTCATATTATTATGTAACTTTTTCCCACTCAACACTTAGTGTTCCCACATCATTACATATTTTCCCAGCCTGATTTTAATGGCTATGAAATACTCTTTAAATTGAATTTGTCATAATTTATTAAATGAACTTACTGTTATTGGACATTTAGTATATGCCTAATTTTTACTTTTATAAGGAAATGTAAAAATTGAGTATACAGTTATTCATCTACTCAGCAAGTTTGATATTAGTTTATAGAATTATTTTCACACTGCATTGCCCAAGTGTATCATAATGAGGTATTTTTCACATCTCATTAGCGATTCTTTTAAACAGATTGTTTGAAAAACGAATAATGCTTTTGAATAATGTGTAAATGGCAGGCCTTGTGAGATCTGGTTCCCTGAGACACAACAGATTGGACACACAGTTGACAGATGAAGGCACAACAAGCTGAGCACACTACATACAAGGCAAGAGCCTTTGTGTTCCCTTGGGAGTGACAGCCACAAATGAAAACGAAAAGTTAATTGCTGGTATTTTAGCATCTTATCAACCTAACACTTACAAAAACAATTGCTCTAAAAAAGAATTTTTTTTTTAATAAAGTGAAAGCAAGTTTATTAGGAAAATAAAGGAATAAAAGTGGCTATTCTGTAGGAAGAGCAGCTTTGAGGGCAGCTGGTTGCCCATTTTTGTGGTTATTTCTTGATTTTACGCTAAACAAGGGGTGGATTGTTCATGAGTTTTCTGGGAAAGGAGTGGCAGTTCCCAGAACTGAGGGTTCCTCCCCATTATAGACCATATGGAGTAACTTCCTGGCATTGCCATGGCATTTGTAAATGGTCATGGCACTGGTGGGAGTGTCTTTTAGCATGCTAATACATTATAACTAGCATATAAAGAGCAGTGAGGGTGAACAGAGGTCACTTTTGTGACCATCTTGGTTTTGGCTGGTTTCTTTACCTCATGCTGTTTTATCAGCAAGGTCTTTGTGACCTATATCTTGTGCCAACCTCCTATCTCATTCTGTGACTGAGAATTCCTGACCTCCTGGGAATGCCGCCCAGTGGGTCTCAGCCTTATTTTAGCCAGCCCTTATTCAAGATGGAGTTGCTCTGGTTTAAATGCCTCTGACATATTTACCCCCTCCCTTTTACAAGGGAACCTTTAATCCTAAGAATTGCAGAGGGATGAAGATCCATCTTCTCTAACTTCTTCAAGCTGAATAGGGGAGATGATATTCCTCCCTAACTATTAGGGTCTCTTGTATTCAGGGTGGAGAGAGGCTCAGTCAGAAAGCATCAGTATGCTGAGGGCAATTTTTGACTCCTAGTACCAACAAAAGGTGGTATCTCGAAGACTAATAAGCGTTCAGTTTAAGAAAACATTCAGTAAGCTTATCTTGCATTCCTACACAGAATACAGCAGCAATATATTCCACAGCAGTAAAACAAAATAAGTAAAATTATCCCAAGTAAACTAAATAAAAAGGCTTTCCATGAACTGGGAAATCACTGGAACCAAGCTAATGTGGAGTCGTTAGCTGATTCCAATATGTGCCCAGAATTAAAATACTGATTTTTTTATAAAGTGAAAGCAAGTTTATTAGGAAAGTAAAGGAATAAAAGAATGGCTACACCACAGGCAGAGCAGTCTTGAGGGCTGCTGGTTGTCCATTTTTGTGGTTATTTCTTGATTATATGCTAAACAAGGGGTAGATTATTCATGAGTTTTCTGGGAAAGGTGTGAGAAATTCTGGAACTGAGAGTACCTCCCCTTTTTAGACCATATGGAGTAACTTTATCTCTTGCTTCTTCTGAGCAGAAGCCAAAGATCACCGGTTGATTCACAAAAATAAGCAGTGTTAGTCTCAATTGCAGAAAAAAACTCAAAAACAACTGACGAGGCTAGAATCTAATAACAGGTGTACCATAGCTCTAGAAACATATTTTTTATTCCAGCCCTCATTTTTATTAAAGACAAATCATGAGAGGACTGATTTGTTTTATTATACCTGGCCTGATTATTTGTATAAAGTACAGTAAGAATAATTATTTTTCACGTAGGCTTTTGAAATTAGCTTTGATGGAACTCCATTCCATAAGGAATCTCAAGTAAGATTTTTAAAAATGCCGAGCCCAGCCATGGGTTTATACTCTCAAATACCTATATGCCTTGGGTAAATTATTCTCCTCTTGAGGTCCCAAGATAACTTGGGGCTCCTGGGCCTATCAGAAACTGACATTATTTACTCACCACAGGTCAGGAACCTTGCACAGGGACTGCATAGACAAGTTATGAGGCCAGTTTTCCCAAGGGACTTTTATTGGCCCTATAAGCCAAGTTTGATTCCTTAAAGGAAAGCACACCATTCCAGTCAAAGCCATGGTAAAATAACCAGTTTCTCCATTTGTATCCTGTTACAAATGAAAACAGATTCTTATTACACTTAAGCAAATAGCTATATTGCCATAAGTTAAAAATACTCACAACTAGTTTCCAAATTCTGGAAAAATCAGGTAATAAGAAACAAATATGCTCCAAATTTTGTTCACAGGAGTATAGTTTACTCAATTGCTACAAGCTGTAAATAGCTTAAAATAAATGTTTTCTTGGCTCCGAAAAACATAACAAGAAATCAGCAACGTTTTAAGCAAAAGTTAAAAAAGATTACTTCAGTCTTCCACCAGTTCAGTCCATGCAGTTAACTCCTGTTCTGCTTAATATTCATGGACATTCCAGCTCTCCATGAGAGTTCCAGAAGTTTTTCCTCTATTTTAATGTTTTGATCTCCAAAATTATCAGAAACCTGTATTCAAGAGTACCTGTTAGTCTTATTGCTAATTATAAACTACCTTTTAAAGAGGATCAAAATAAGACAACAATTGTCTATGGATGAAAAAAGTCCACTATTAGAGCCACAATTGACAAGGAATTTTGGTTACTTCTGTGGCATACAAAAATTTTACTAACAACTATAATTATTACTGATAATGCACACTAAATCATATCAGAATTATATGAGTTTCCCATAATTTTGGAACATATACAAATAACACACTTACATAAATACAGCCCAAAGAAAGTCTAATACCATTTCATATTTGACATTGTTTCCTGTATGATTTTTATACAAAATAAGTCAAATTTTATCTTTACATTAGTGTACTATTAATGTTAAAGCCAATTCTCTAAAACCTTATAGACAATTCGATCCAATCTTAATCAGTTTGACCATAAGGTAAGATTTTCATAAACTTTCTATAACCCTTTACAATTTTGGTTAAAGAATAGATCAGTGCTTTTATTCAAATATTCAACTGATGGAAAAACTTGAACTTTAGCCAATGTTTACACACAGAATTTCTTTTACAAAGTTAATTTTTCACAAACCTTGCACAACTTGTTCAAACCTTCAGCTTTATCTTATCTAACTTAAAACAATCCTTTAACTGTTTAAACTAGGCAAAAAAAATCCACCTCCCATGACTTATTATCTTTTTCCAAAAACACACTTGACTTTCCAAAAATACCTTGCATGTACAACTGTTTTTATTTCCCAAATATTACTTAAGTCATGTGAATGAAAAGGCATTTCACTTTTTACTTTTCTGATAAAATATTTGATTTAAGCACTTATTATTTTTAAGCCAATTAATCAAAGCTCTTTTATATCACACACACAACACATATAAATACACAGATAGATGAAGATCCAGTAGTTGTATGATTTTTTTTATTTGCCAGTTTCTTAATTGGATTACTGGCTTCAGGGTGGAGCCCTTGGAGGAATAGGGCTAGAAAAGCATGCAGTTTCTATGGCCTAATAAGTAGGCACAGCTGGAAGGCAAAAAAGATCCCTAAAATTAAGGATTCCACTTTTATATCAGATCCTGGATCTGAAAAAGAGGGAATCAGCCCATCTTCCAAAGAAGTCTTCTCTCTCAGTTTTGTGGGGGGAAGGGGATGGGGACATTTCCTTACTTTCTAGGTGGCCAAGAGCATGCTTCTTTATCCAAATGTGCAAATAGCCAAGTATCCCTTGATAAATGCCATTAGCCTTCACTAAAAGTATATTTCCTACTTTCCTACTTAGTTTACACACCAAAGCTCTCTCATAATGCAAAGTATTTTTTGATTACTCTCAAAAATAAAAAAAGTCAGATAATACAATGCAAAAAAGAACAAAGCCATAGATTTTTAGAGGGATCAATCCATTTCCAATTCCTGGGGAATGAGGAAAACAGTTTTTTTTTCCAAAACGGGGTCTGTGGCACCTCCTCTGTTTTCCCTAAGGAGTCCCAGGCTGTTAGAGCTTGAATATCCACTTTTAATTAAGCTGACTTTTAACCATACCACTCTTTAAAAAAATACTTTTAAATTTCTTATTTACCTGACTTTAGCCACACCAAACCTCCAATATTTCTGGCTTTTGACCTTTACCAAAAGTAACCTCACAGGTGAAACCAATGAGCTCTAGCTACTAAGCTACAGTTTCCATTGCTCTTCCTAGAAGGAGCCTAGAGCAGTCAAATTTGAACTTGCAAAGGCTTTTAACTGCTCAAGATAGTTTTTAGGGCTACCTATGACATGAACCCCCAAATTCCTGTTCCCTGGAAGGTGGAGACCAAGAGAAAGTACCAACATGTGGTTACAAGGTCAAGCTCCCAAGGACATTTTTCAACATGTGGTCTCTGGGCAAGATGAAAGAGCAGACAGTTGCCCTGAGTAACATAAAAGATAGAAAAGAGAAAGGAAAAAAAGCATTGCCTGTAGCGGGGTGGGGAAGGTGAGGTACTCAAGGAGGCCAGAGAAAGACCCACCCATTTCAGTGACACTGAAAAGTTCAAGTGGCCTCTTATTTGTCAGGAAGGTATATTTTCCAGCAGTTCCAACAGCTCTCAAGTTTCCCCTTTTGGGGAGGAAAAAGCTCCCCATGTCCCATGGTCCCATATATGCCTAATTCCATAGCCCTCAGCAAAAAGTACAAGGTAGATTAATCCAAAGAGAGTAGCAGTTAACATCCCATAGTGCCAAACCTGTTCTTAGCTGAGAGAGACTTCACCGAGTGGGGCTTCTAACCCCCTAAATCTTAGGAAGAACTCTAACCTTCCTAAGTTGGGCCTCGAGCCCAAGTTAGGTCAAGTGTCTGCCTTTTTTTTAAGAGGAACCTTTAACCCTTTCTGTCTTAGGAGAGACTCAAAATCCCCAAGATGGGCTTCTAGCCCAATCCCATCCTCTACCTGGGTACCCTTACCACTGACCCAAAGTTGGCCAATCAGTGCTGCAGTCTATTTTCTTTGGGTTGGGGGTCTCCTCAGTATCATCCCTTCAGTGCTCACCAGGAAGATGTTACTGGAAAGAGGTCCTGATCTAGACCCCAAGAGAAGGTTCTTTGATCTTGCAAAAGAACAAATTCAAGGCGAACCCATAGAATAAAATGATAACAAGTTCATGAGGAAGATAAAGGAATAAAAGAATGGCTACTTCATAGGCAGAGCAGCTAGAAATTTAAAGACTAATGATTTTTCCCTCATTTTCATAAATTGATATTATCACCAGTGAAAACATTTCTTATTAAATGATTATTCTCTTGATTTAACATGACATGCAAGTTTTGATGACTGACATGTGAAAACTGTTATTTTTTTGGTTTGGTGCTTCCAAACCAAAATGTCTCCTTGAAGTTCAGATTTTTGTTAGCCCACACGTCCTATAAACCTCCTTAAAACAACTGGCAGAGCTTAACCACAACTAAAACGCAGAAACCCATTGTCATATATGTCACGTTTTCTAGAAATAGAGCCTAAGATGGAGATTCTTGAGAATGTGATGTTTGGAGAAGGGGAGTGAGAAAGCAGGATAGAAAGAAGAAAGTTAAGTGGGGACATGCTCTCAGCTGCAGGTGAGTTTCCATCTGATCCTATGAATGGTACCACAGAATTACTCCAACCTTGGGACAAGGAACCTTTATATCCCCACTTAAGCAATTCTGGCAAATGGGCATCTCAAAGTTGTCCGCAGCCAATGCTCACAGCATATCTGAGTAGAGCACCAACAGCAACTACTACAGTCCAATATTTGCATTGGTTTGATCCACTTTCTTATTTATTTATTTGTTTATTTTGAGACAGGGTGTCACTCTGTTGCCCAGGCTGGAGTGCAATGGCATGATCACAGCTCACTGTAGGCTCAACCTCCTGGGCTCAAGTACTCCTCCCATCTCAGTCTCCTATGTAGCTGGGACTACAAGCATGTGCCACCGCACTTGGCTGATTTTTGTATTTTTGTAGGGACAGGCTTTTGCTATGTTGCCCAGGCTAGTCTCAAATTCCTGGGCTCAAGTGATACACCCGCTTCAGTCTCCCAAAGTGCTGGGATTATAGGTGTGAGCCACCATGACTGGCCCACTTCCTTCTTATATTGAGCTTATTTCATCCAGACTCTGCCTCTTCCAGATTCTGGCTGGCATCATTTATTGGAAAACTTACAGGAAGTGTGTTATTGTGAGAAACTACAAGTACTACTACTGCAGTTATTTCAGAGGCCATCAAATATATTTGAAATAACTGCAGTAGTAGTTATATATATATATACACACACACACACACACACACACACACACAGAGAGAGAGAGAGAGAGAGAGAGAGACAGACAGACAGACAGAGAGAGAGAGAGAGAGAGAGAGATTTTTTTTTTTAATTAGACCTTTCTGCCTTCCCATGCTACACACTCCTCCTCCATTGGCTACTTAATCAAGGTGTCTTGCCTAATGAGATAAACCATTTCTTAACTCCTGAGAGGTCTAAGCATTAAATATCCATCCCCTTATCAATCATTGTATTAATCTGTTCTCACACTGCTATGAGGAAATACCCGAGACTCGATAATTTATTTTAAAAAAAAAGAGGTTTAATGACTCACATTTCTGCATGGCTGGGGAGGCTTCAGGAAATTTACTATCAGGGCAGAAGGGGAAGCAATATGTCCTTCTTCACATGAAGTCAGGAAGAAATGCTGAGCAGAAGGGGTAAAAGCCCCTTATAAAACCATCAGATCTCACTAGCAGTCACTCAGTATCATGAGAATAGCACAAGGATAACCACTGTCATGACTAAATTACCTCCCACAGGGTCCCTCCCATGAAATGTGAAGATTATGGGAACTACAATTCAAGATGAGATTGGGTGGAGACACAGCCAAACCATATCAGTCATGGTTCTTATATTTGCCCATTTACAGTTAAAACAAGGTATGGACACAAAAGATTCTGTCATCTCCTTTGTTACCATGGAGCTCAGTTTTGTAATAGTGTTTCCAACCATTATCCTTATCTTACACAGGGCATGTACCATTGAGCTTTTCATTAACAGTGGTGACCCATTTACCTGCAAGTTTCTTATTGCCTTGGTACACAGTATCTCAGAACTGTTGAGCCTGAAGATTACCTGGTAGATTTTTCTGAACTTAAGTGGTAACATGCCTTCTTCTCTGAGTATTTCGATTCCTTACTACACTGTCTGCCACAGTCTTTACTTTATTTAATGTGGGCTATTGCTTCTTCCAAGCTTCTTAAGAGCCATCCCAGTGATATCTTAGATCTTGTACCTAGGGAACTTGCCAGGGTGTTAAATCCTGTGTAATGGTAGAGTGTCCCCATATCAAAGCACTTTTACTTATTTAGGCTTCTCTTCAGCCTCCCTGAAACAGCACCTAAGCATCTACTCCCAGGCACTGACTCCTGGTTCTTTCTGGGACATATTTCTTAGGTACTGCAGTGTCTTTGATGTACAATTTCTTTTGTCCCTTAACAAGAAAGCTTAACACTTTTTAAACAGCTTTATTGAGATATTATTGGCATATGAAAGTCTGAATATATTTAAAGTAGACCATTTAATAAGTCTTGACACACATGTAAGCTCAGAAACCATCACACAGTCTAGATAGTAAATATATCTATCACAACCAGAAGTATTTTCTTGCACATTTGTAATCTCTCCTACTACCCCTCTCCCAGTCCTCAGGCCATCACTCATCGGATTTCTGTGATTATAGCCCCTATGTTCTAAAGTGTTACACAAGTAGAATCATACTTGTATACTCTTTTTCTGTCTGGCTTCTTTCACTCAGCATAATTATTTTAGGAATTATCCATGTTGTTGCATGTATCAACAATGTATTTAGTTTTACTTTTGAGTAGTAAATATTCCATTGTGTGTATATACCACAATTCGTTTCCATACCTACACAGAGAATTGATTGTATTTGTCATCAAATCAATATGTTGTGCCTTTAATATGTATTATTATTTGTAGGCAATTTCACTAAGTATTGCAAACACAGATGAAATTTACAAAATAATTTCTTCTTCTATGAAAACAAATTATAACACCTTAGAAAGAACAGATAAAGCTAAGTTGCTTTAGAATATTACTTCTAAATTAGTAATGAGCAGCGGCAAAGTTAGCAGGAAGGGAACAAAACTTAAGTTTTAGGGCCTCTCACAGGCAGTTTCCTTTCAAGGCCTGGGGGAGACCCTAGCAATGTGTTTTTGTACAATTTGTAAAAGTAAGATATGTCAACTACCATCAGTTAAGCCCTCTGGGTGTTCCACTGCAATTTGCCTTGTACTATGCTTCACCCCCAAATATGTGCTCTTGGAAGGTGGCAGCTGTTGAGTTATAACTAAGGGGCTAAGTTGGGGTACAGTAGTCCAGGTTTCGTGCAATATATTTTTGTTGCTTGCAATTACATTTTGCTTGCCCATATGTGAAGTTATTATTAACTATCCTACTGTAAGAAAGACTTCCAAGAAGAGTACTAAGGTTCATTGTGCCGACTCAAGGCACGTTAAAGGGAAGATTGCATATTGGGACTGCAATGCATACTGTGGTGCTTGGCACAAGAAGTATGTGGGTAAATGTGAAATGCACAAAGCTGAAAGCTAGTCGGTGGAAGGCTTCGAATCCTCAGACCTGTCAAACTCATATAATTTCACAATATCAAGGACATACTTAAAACCTGCTTAATATGTGTTGTCAATTCAGAGTACTTAACCAGTATTTCATAAAACTTAAAATGTTCTACATGAATTTCATAATAATCCTAAATATGTTTTCCATTACTAATAATGAAAAAGGCTGAAAACTCAATAGTAAAAATAAAATTGTAATCAACCATTTTAGAGGAATGTTTAGTGATTTGCTCTCTGTGTAATCAGTGATATTACAAAAGTATTGTCCTACGAAGAGGTAATCAAAATTATGTAGCCAAAGTGGCAATCAAAATTATGTAGAAAAAAAGTATTATAGAGTATGTCAAACAGTTGATTATTGAAAATACTATATTTGGACACTTGGTGGTTTTGTGGTATTTGTCAGCTGTTTGAAATTTTCTAATTTTGTGATTGCTTTTCTCTTTATGAATACTCATTTTCTTGCCTAACTTCGTATTCATAAATTTGTATCATTTTAAAAAATAGAACACAAAATTAGATGAGCCTCAAGTCCCATAACTTGCATTCACTCTGTGAGCAAGATGACTGCAAATGTATGGAGAGAAAAATTATAACATTTTGGTGGCATCTATATTCAGTATAGTACTTTACATGTCATTAAATCTCATTTCACTCTAGGTCAATAAAATTTTGATCAGCAACAACAGTTAGAGAACAAATCTTGGCCCTACAAAATGATTGCTAAATGCATGTAGTGTGTTGTCATGAAACAAAATATTTAAATTTAGGTGTGTATAATTTTTAAAGATTACCTGCTTCAGTTAATCTTGATTTACTGATCTCGTGATCATTATCACTTTAGAAAAGAGTACATCTGCTACAATAGATTGATGGAATTTTCACAATATGATAGAAACTTCTTGGCCTTTTGACGTGCATTCTTATTTCATAGAATAACCAAGAACAGCTGGGAGCCCACGGTCTCTCCAATTTTCACTCATCTCAACAAACTCCCTAAATACATGCATGTATTTGCATGAGTTCATGCGCGCCCGCACACACACACACACACACACACACACACACACACACAGACACAGAGCTTCGCATCAAGTTGTGAAGCATGTAGTTTTTCTTAAACTCTTGCTATATAGAAATTTTGGAACTTCCATTGATTTTATTCCATTTTATACAACCCAGCGTTGTACATGGAAAAAGGAACTGAGGCATTAGAGATACAAAATAACATGCCCACACTGACAGCACTCACAGTAGATACAGAGTAGATGAGCTGGAATTTAATACCAAGTCTGTCTGGCCCCTGAAAGGTGGCAGAATATGCCACCACAAAATAAGCCTCATGTCAAAATAAGCCACTTTGGCATAAGGCTTACTTTGAGCTGAAGGCAATAGAGAAGATGCAGATACAAGAAGGAAAGCTCTCTGCCCTCCCCATTTGACTAAAGCAGGGCATAAATTTACAAAACTATCCTTCCTCCCCTCTCTACTGGAAAGACAGAGGTTGATCACTGGAGACAATATTAGGCCCCTATCAGCCTGAAGACTGCATCTGAGGAAGCTACATAACACACTTTCCTAAATATCCTATATCTACCGTTAATTTCTCATAGATTTGCCTTCCTATAATTTGCTCCCACTGGACTAGGACTCAAGATTCTCTTCCTTTCTCTTGTAACTTCTTTAAAGATTTATTGTTCTTTGTAGAAGATGGTATATAAGGGACAAGGCTAAACCATCTCTCCGAGAGGCACTTTTTACCTGCATTTTTTCATATATGTATATGAAATTTACAGGTTAATACACTTCTGCTTGTTTTTCCCTGTTGATCCATCTTTTATTACAGGGAGTCCCAACCCAGAATTTAGAATGGTAGAGGAAATATATTTTTCCTTCTCTATACTCCGAAGTCTATTTTCCAAATCCTAAGGATTTCTCCCCATGATTTAACCTCATTATTGCCTCTTTTACCTCACCAACATTTCAGAACTGTATGTAACATTTTATCAGCTCTCCCATTATTAAGTAAAATCTTTAATATGTGTTTGTTTTATGTGAGAGTCATGACTTCTTTTTTAAAATTATCCTTTAACAAAATATAATATAACCTCTGTGTTTTAAAAGGACATTTTATAAAATCTTCTGTCTGATTTCTGATTTCTCCTCTTGTTCCCTTTCACCACTCTGTAATTTCTGTTTCACAATACAGCCTATTAGCTCTCAGTTCTGACTGTTGGGTCTCTGTCCCTCCCTCATATTAAACTTCCTGGATTTTGTGACAGTTGTCCTTTTTATTTGGAGGAAAGAACTTTTCAAACTTACTTTGACATAAACAGTTGCACTTGTCAAAGAAAAAAATTCAACACATTAAATTTCAAAGACTTTGATAAAAGAAAAACTTCAGCCACATTAAATTTAAAGTTTTATTGAGCAATGAATGATTTGTGAATCAGGCGGCCCCCAGAATTATAGCAGGTTCACAGAGACTCCAGTGCAGCCACGTGGTGGAAGATTTATAGACAAAAAAAGGGAAATGATGTACAGAAATTGGAAGTTAGGTACAGAATGGCTGGATTGGTTACAGCTTGGCGTTTGCCTTATTTGAATACAGTTTGAACACTCAGCAGTGTATGAATGGTTGAAGTATGGCCACTGGGATTGGTCAAGACTTAGCTATTGTTACACTTAGGTTTTCAATCTTGTTTGACTATTAAGCTAGGTTACAGTTCATCCCCAAGGACTTAAATATAGAAGTACAGAGTCCATCTCAGGCCATATTTAGTTTGCTTTAACAATGTGATTAGCTTTTAGTAGTAATTCATGAACCAGGCAGCATCCAGTCTATGAAACAGAAAAGAGGTCTGACTAGCTAAAGAGTGGATGCATTTTATAGGTTAAAAAAAAGGAGGGGAAAGCAGAGACAAGGAACAAATAGCAGATTGGTCACTTCACTTCAAGGTTACTTTTGTTATAGGGACATAAGCAACATCTTCTCGGCTTGATGGGGTTTGATTTTTACCTCTCTCCTGATTTCTCAGAGGGTCAGATCTTACAAGTAAATTAGTTAGATTTTGGTTTGATGACACAGAACTTTAGCATGAGTGACTCCATTTTGGGTTTACTGGTCTTTTCTTTAAAAGACTTTGTTATGAGCTATTTATTTATACTTAAGTAAATTTAATTACCCATGTTTTGAATATTCATAATTTCATAATTTTCCTTGAGATAAGAGCCACACTAGGTATTAAAAACCTTGGGGAGCTCTCTTAAATCCAGAAATATAATGAGTGTGACTTGAGTGACAGTTCGCTGCATGGCTCACAGGAGTTGAATTACAAGGCAGATTGTTGATAGAAAATAGTGAGAAGAGGGGCAAAATTAAGAGTCTGACTTAAACATCTGACCATTTGTCTTTGTTAATAATCTGGTAATTACTTGAACTGATTTCCTTCAAGGTCTAGCTAAACAAATGAATTAGACAGACCTGCACAGTCTTTTTTTTTTTTCCCAAAAGGGCTGAAGGTAGCTGAGAAAAAAAAATGAATTTCTATCCTCCCCAAACAGCACCTTTATATTCATTAACTGCTAGAAAGGAGCCTTATGAGTATTAGCTAGAACTGCTGTCTTTTTCTGGTCAACCCCTGTTTCACATAAGGGGATGCAAATGTTTTTCTTTCTAGTCTTCCCAAATTGTGCAACAGAATTGTCTAAGCTTTCTTTAGCTCCTGATCCTCATCCTGTCACTACTTGAACAGAAAAGATTATACCAGATTTTTAAAAAAACATCATGTTGTAGAACAGTTTCTTAATTAAGCAGGCCCTCTAACAGAAATAGTCTCTAATACCTTGAGGCTTTGAGACAAGAAGAAATGGTGAGATGTATTTTAATGGCTTACTGGTTTTATTTTATTTTCTAGTCAGGTATGCAATAGAAAATTTAAAGTGTTCCTACTGATGTAAAAGCCTAGAGCATAAGAAGCAATCCTTACCTTTTATGCAAGCTATTTCTTTTTCTGAGAAGTCCATAAAATGAGGCTAATTCACTACATTTTCTGTTTAAATTGAAATATTTCTGCTCTAAAGTATGCAGTGGTCTGGATACTTTCTTCCATTCCTGAGTTAAATGACAATCCCTTTTTTATTTATTTAGTTTTTAAACAATTCTAAAGTTGATGTCTAAAATATCCTACTGTATCTGCGACTTCAGCTTCTTATAGTGGTGAGAAATGGTTCATTGATTGAGATAGCACATGAGAAAATAACAATTAATAGAGAAGAAGGGAACTAACTGGACCCAGAAAAACTGAAGAGGGAGAGAGAAGTGAGGTTAATGCAGTGAGAGAAAAGATGTTTCCTGTGAATAAGCACACCTGTATATTACCACCAGTGTAAACACACTCTGAAGTCAATCTTTATTTTCCTCTTCTGAAAAGCACTGAAGGTGACATTTTTCCATTTCTGTGTGATCAAAAGCATCAAAATATTTGATTTTTTAAAGGAAAGCTAATATAAAGTACTTAAAGTCTACGACCATATTTCATGAGTATTGCTTAGTATGTTCTGTTTTGAAAATCTGGAATATATTAACCAATTTTTTTTAATGAAAAAGAAATCACCTCCATGTTGAGAACAGGCTACTTAACAGAACAAATTCTTTATTTCACTACTGACCACCATTTCCCTGGCAGAAAATAGATCATATCAATATGAAGTTCTCCTTTGGAATAATGACCTGTTAAACAGATACAGAAAAACTTTTTGAAGCAAAATGTGACAGCAAATTAGGAAATGGTGCTTTTTAACTCCTTACTCCCCCAAAACACCCTGCTGGAAATGTTAATAACTGCCCTAATATTTGGTATTATTCTTTTTGCATCTGACCACAAGGAAGTTCTTGGATTTGTGTATATTTTCAACTCTATTTTGATCAGGAGCAAATGCCTTTCACTGTGTTTAATATGATCTCCTCTGTTTACAACATGATATGTCTAACACCTTTGCCTCTATTTTATCCCTGAGCTCACCCCTTGAAAGAAGGATTATTTTTTTCCTTTATCACTAAGTTAGCCATCTACTTTAGACAATGGGAAATAAGACAAGGGCTAAAATGTGAGAATTTTCTCCTACTCATGCACAGAGTCCCCAGGTCAGAAGTAAGGCTATACCCTCATGGGCTTCTGAAGTTGGCTCCTTATTGCAATTTCTTGTGTGTTTTGCAGGTCTGTGTTCAGTGACTTCAAATTAGTAGCTTGAAATTGATGATGGTGGGAGTATTTACACTACAGAAGTTGGCAAATGCTACATATCAGATATGCTCTCATTTCCAGTGATTTATAGGCACACAGTTGGTTATACTGTTACCAGTGAAGGGTGTCCACATTCTTGGCATCTTGAACAAAGAATTGGGCAAAAGGCAGAAACACAACAAGAAAAGGTGAAGCAACAAAAGCAGAGATTTATTGTAAATGAAAGTACACTCCACAGGGTGGGAGCGGGCCTTAGCACCGGGGCTCAACATTCCGGATAGAGAATTTTCTGTGATTTAAACAACCTTTAGAGGTTTCCACTGATTAATGGGTATACGCCTTTTGTAAATAAAGAGGCTAAAGTGAAGTTACAAAGTTATGTATATGGTATACACCCTATAAGAGGATGAAATGAAGTTACAAAGTCATTTACTCTATGTATGCCCTATGTAAATGAAGAGGATATTTCCTGTCATAGCTTAAGTGTTTCCATTTGATTTAGTTTGGGGAAGTCCTTAGGTTCCCTGCATCCAGGCCCTATTCTCCTGCCTCAGTACCTAGCTTTCTCTTTTAACTCAAGAACTATCTCAAGTAGAGATAGTCTACTTTATACACACAGATTTCTATAAACCACAATAATTTCTTTTGTAAAATTTCTCACTTCCTTTACCAGAGTCCTTATTTCTTGATATCTCTTTTGCTTTTAATTTTAGCCAGTTGACTATTTTATTTTTTGGTTTTCTTTAATCTCCAATAATATTTTTTTTTATACTTTCATCATTTCTTTTTATAAGATAGTTAAAAACAAAGTTTCACACAGGTGAGAAAACAGGATGTCATCTCAGAAGCTGGGATAGCAGTTGTCTTCCCACATCTGAAACATGCCTCCAACATTTTTAGCTACTTCTCTTCTAATTCAGGGAGTGGTGGCTGCATGAGTCAGGGTTACACAGAGAAACAGAACTAACAGGGTGTGTGTTTCTATAGAAAGGGAGAGAAAAAATCTAAAAATTAAAAAAAACAACAACAACAGCAAAAAGGATTCACAGAAACATTCGGGCTTGTGTTTGACCAAATATTTGAATGCCATAGCCATGTTAATACATATAATTAACCATTACAGTGACTTCTATTAGGCATTAAAGAAATATGCTTAGCATTTTAGAATAAGTTAATTCCTTTGCTAAAAACATGCAAACTAATCTTACTTTAATTGCTTGTGGAAAAGGAATTATAAACTATTTATCTTTAACCAAAGTTAAATTTCTTGCTGGTCAGGTCTTTCCTCTGACCAACTGTGGACTTCACTTGAGTCATTTGACTTTGTGACTGAGCTTGCTGACCACTGGAGCAGGTCTTGCTAAATGCGGCTTTAACAAAAATTGCTACCCCAGGTCAATGGAGTTCATTTACGACTCTTTACACACCTTTGAAGAAATGGGCTATGAGCATATAAATGTGATTATTATAAGAGATTTAATACTTCCATTAAGACAGAAACAGATATTTCTAAATTTCTTCTTTGGACATTCAAATTAAAATCATTTCTGAGCTAGCTGAAATGTTGTATTGGGAATAATTACTAAAGTTTTCTGCAGCCAGGCACTCATATACTCTCATAATTACTGCCATTTTCCTGGCAAACATTCCTAGCAGAAATTGAAAAAACTTCACAGGACAAGATTTATTAATAAGCAGTAAGCTTCAGAAATGCTATATCTAAAATGTGCCCCTTTTTCAGACTTAGAGAATAATTAGTGTAAAAAACGTGAAATCTTCAAAGTTCAAACTTTTGTGTCATTGATTGTAAAAATGTAGTACTTAAGGCTAGTTGTCATAGTCTATCTAGTGACATTATTCATTTTAGCATATATACAACCCTACGTTTCTGCATATTACAAAAGTGGCTAGAAGAATTTTCTGAATAATTCTAATAAAACAGATACTTTTTTTTTTTTTTGCAAATTTCTCCAAGTACCTAGAAAGGTGCAGGAAGACAAATACAGAATCCACATTTTCTATGTAATTACTCTAGTTCTTTTTGTAAATAAAACCCAGTTTCCTTTCATAGATAATAAATGCAGATATAAACTTTTATTTCCCTATGGTGAGAATTTTATACCTAATTCTTAAACAAACATTCATAAGGAGCTTATATTTATTTGAAGGCCACTACAATTTGGTTTTATGGAGAAGACAGTGAAAAATTAATTACTTACTTTATACTTTATTTTGTACGGATCTTGAGTAATTTGATTATCTGTTGATAAATGAGCTTTCCTACATCCAATGTGCCCATGAAATTTAGAAAAACATCCTTCCATTCTTACAAACACAAATAAATATATAAAATCTCCAAACTAATAAAATGCCAAGTACTTTTGATAATTTCTTTAATTTTTTTTTTTTTTTTTTTTTTTTTTTTTTTTTTTTTTTTTTTTTTTTTTTACTCCAGGCTCACATAACTGATGACAAGATGATTGTTTTCAGTCTTGGCAAACTACTTCTCCATAAAATATGTTACAGACTCCAAGACTTACACATCTTGCTCTGTGGGCTTTGTTATAACTTATCCTCTTAAACAGCATCATTATTTTCTAACTTCTCATGGTAATATTCTATATTATCCCACTCTGCAGATTTTTACATGGGCTGTCCTATGAGCATTTAATATTTCTTTCAGAATTTAGAAAGAACTTTTATTGGAAATGGAAATTATAATAAAACTTGCTAGAATATGTAAATTAAAGCTATGGAAAGAATCACAGATCTTAAACTTTATTATTTTGGAGTTGGAGAGACTGAGGCTAAGAAGATGTTTTGAAGTTTTCCATAAAGACACATATTTAGAAAATGTTCCAATTTTTTGGATCCATGTTCCAGTCCTCTTTCTACTGTTTTGCCAGAAATTAAGTAGATAGCTATTTATCAGTTACTAATCAATAATACCTTGTCATATTAAAGTCTATTTGCTCTGTTCAACCATCTGCTCTTAAAATAAGTTGGAAAGAGAATGTTGTGTGGGGAAGGATGTTAACAAAATAAGATATTTAGTGTATAAATGTGGATCTTATGTTTGAATAAGTAATTACCTTTTAAAAGAGAGCAGATCAGGGATCAAATTCTGGAGTGACAGTGTGAGGTGTTAGGCTGAACCACACTATGGTAAAGTTGGTGAAAATTACTTTTAAAATAACAACACTCTAGACCCTCTAGAAGTGGGTCTAAAGGCAAGCAGAACATGAAGAAACATTTATTCAAAAAAATCTATGAAAATTCGTTAAGAAAGGTAAGTGTCTGTGGCATTTGAAGCAAGACGGATCCCTTTTACTCCCCTCCCAACTCAGTCAGGCAGACTCCACTCCAAACTTCTGCAGCCAAGTACACAGGCTTCTCTCTTTTCTCTAGATGCCAACAAGGGGGCTTTCTTTTTTTTCTTTTGGATCAACTCTTTTTTTTCTTTTCATTTAAGTTCTGAGGTACATGTACAGAACGTGCAGGTTTGTTACATAGGTATACATGTGCCATGGTGGTTTGCTGCACCTACGAACCCGTCATCTAAGTTTTAAGCCCCACATGCATTAGGTATTTGTCCTAATGCTTTCCCTCCCCTTACCCCTCACCTCCCTATAGGCCCCAGTGTGTGATGTTCCCCTCCCTGTGTCGATGTGTTCTCATTTTTCAACTCCCACTTATGAACGAGAACATGCAATGTTTGGTTTTCTGTTCCTGTGTTAGTTTGCTGAGAATGATGGCTTCCAGCTTCATCCATGTCCCTGCAAAGGACATGAACTCATTCTTTTTTATGGCTGCATAGTGTTCTATGGTATATATGTGCCACATTTTCTTTATCCACTCTATCATTTATGGGCATTTGGGTTGGTTCCAAGTCTTTGCTATTGTAAAAAGTGCTGCAATAGTAATAGTATACTATTACTAGTTCTGTAATAGTACTATAAAGACACATGCAATATGTGTGCGTGTGTGTTTATAGTAAAATTATTTATCATCCTTTGGGTATATACCCAGTAACGGGATTGCTGGGTCAAATGGTATTTCTGGTTCTAGATACTTGAGGAATCGCCACAATGCCTTCCACAATGGATGAACTAATTTACACTCTCACCAACATTGTAAAAGCGTTCCTATTTCTCCACAGCCTCACCAGCATCTATGGTTTTCTGACTTTTTAATAATTGCCATTCTAACTGGGGTGAGATGGTATCTCATTGTGGTTTTGATTTGCATTTCTCTAATGACCACTGATGACAGGAAGAACAGAATTGTTTTCTCATCCTGTCCTAGCTGTCACTAAGACTAGGGAAAATGCAGTTGGAGGTGAGACTCCTTTCTTCTGCCAAGCTCGCATTCACTGAAAAGTGGCTCTACTTTGGGTAAAACACCCTGAGAATATAGGGTCCCGATTGTACTTACCCTGCTTGTGAGGTGTTAGTTCCATGCCAGGAAAGGGAAGTTGAGCTCACAGGTTACCATCCCCTTCTCTCCATGGACTGCACAGCCCCTAGAGCAGGAATGTCACTCAGAGAAGATTGACGTTATCTCCACCTCAACCTCATGCTGGCTCAGGATTTTTGCATTAGGCAGAGTAAAGGAAAGGGGAGAATTAGGTCCTAAAACTGTCTAATCTTTTCCAGAGGTGACTGACTTTGTTTGCAGCAGAGCATGGAGAAATTCAAACCTAAGGATACTCTCAGGAATAGTGGGGTTTGTGGTGAAAGGCAATTAGGAGACTACTTTTAGACCTAATAAAGATGTACTCTAGACTAAAGGTCCCCAACCTTTTTGGCACCAGGGACTGGTTTCATGGAAGACAATTTTTCCACAGACTGGGGCAGAGGGGAGGGTTTTGGGGTGATTCAAGTGCATTACATTCATTGTGCACTTTATTTCTATTATTATTACATACTCCTGATAGTGTAGAATCAGTGGGAGCCCTGAGCTTGTTTCCCTGCAACTAGATGGTCCCATCTAGGGGGGATGGGAGACAGTGACAGATCATTAGGGATTAGATTCTCATAAGAGGTATGCAACATAGATCCTTCATATGTGCAGTTCACATGAGATTCTCCTATAAGAATCTAATGCCACTGCTGGTCTGACAAAAGGCAGAGCTCAGCTTTACTTGGCTGCTTGCCACTCACCTTGTGCTGTGTGGCCTGGTTCATAACAGGTCACAAACTGGTTGGGGACCCATGCTCTAGACTGCAGGCTGGCTAGTTTGGAGGAGAGAACAGAATAAAACAGCTTGGAAGGGCCCTCCGGGAGTCACAACAAACATCAAAGAGACCTTAAAAGTTATTTCTTTAAAGAAGTCATGGGCCAGACACAGTGGCTCATGCCTGTGATCGCAGTGCTTCAGGAAGCTGAGGCAGGAAAATCACTTGAGGCCAGGAGTTTGACACCAGTTTGGGCAACACAGTCAGCCCCCATCTATTCAAAAGCACAAAAAAAAAAAAACTGGACACTGTGATATGTGCCTGCAGTCACAGCTAATTGAAAGGCCAAGACGGGACAATTGCTTGGGTCCAGAACATTGAGGCTGCAGTGAGCTATGATCACCTCACTGTACTCCAGCCTGGGCAAAAAAGTGGGTCTCTGACTCAAAAAAAAAAAAAAAAGTCATAATTGATTGAATTAGTTCATAGAGCAATATGCCCTGGGGTGTTTGGGAAAACAATAGAGTGGTCAGCCAGCAAATAGTAGAGTTTAACAGATAGGTGTTGTTATTGAGAGAGAGAAAGCCAGCCCTACCAATGCTACTGTCATCACAGGGTAAATGGGCATACTGAAAGCTGTATCTTCCTGAGAAGCAATATCAGAGGCTTAAGACTGGGAAAATAGACTAATGTCTATTAGTGACTAATGAAGTCACTATTATCTAAAATGTCATGTTTCCCAGAAAAAATTATGAGACATGCAAAGAAACAAAACACTATGCCTCAGTTGACAGGAAAACAAAACAATAAAAAAACATGCAACACAAACTGTGAGTTCAAGCAGATCTCAGATTTAACATAAAATACTTGAAGATAAGTAAACGTGTTCACAGAATGAAAGGAATGCATAACTGAAAAAGTAAAGTGTGGTATAATGACAATGTTTTATTAAATAGAGAGAGTAATTATAAAAAAGAACCAAGTGGAGATTCTTGAGATAAAAAGTATAGTAACAGATATTCACTCAAGGTGCTCAAGTAGATTTGAACTAGCAGGTGAAAAAATTAGCTAATTGGAAGATAGATTGAAAACTATTATGCAATCTATAAAACAGAAAACCATTTTAAAAAGGGAACAGACACTCAGAGAAATGTAGGACACCATCAAGGGTACCCATATAGATATAATTGGAGTACCAGAAAGAGAAGAGAGAGAAAATGTAGCATAAAATTTTGTGAAGAAATAGTGGAAGAAAACTTGGCATATTTATTGAAAAATAATAACTGACATATTTAGGAGACATAGTTTTCATGTATGGTAAACACAAAGAGATTTACAAATTGACATAATAAAAGTGTCAAAAGTCTAATACAAAGAGAAAATCTTGAAAGGAGCAAGAGAAAAGAAAGAAATAAACAAAAACTAAGAAAACCCTAATCACTTATAAGAGAACATCAATAAAATAGTCACTGAAATCAGCAAAAATGATACAGGCCAGAAGGCAGTGGGATAGCATATTCAAGGTGCAGCATTAAAATGCAAACAACAAAAATGAACAAACAAAAAAAGCTGTCAAGAATCCTCTATCCAAAAAATAGATCTTTAAAAAATGAAGGCGAAATAATGACTGTCTCAGGTAGACAAACACTGAGAGAAGGTATTGCTAGTCAACCTGCCTTACAAGAAATACTAAAGGAATTTCTTCAAGCTGGAAACAAGTGAGCCCAGACAGTAATTCAAAAATTCAAATCCACATGAAAAAGCACCACTATGTAATAAAAAAGTATAAGTACATATTTTCTCCTTTCTTTGTATAACCCATTTAAAAACTAACTGTATAAAAGCATATTTATGCTTTTATACATAAAATGTAATGTTGGATCTACATCATAGAGAAATATAATATGCGTATACTATGTTTACCAAAAACAGCACAAGAGAGGTTGGTAGTAGCAATTCTAAGGTGAGTGGAATAAGAAAATGACTATAGATGGTTAAGTTATAATTATAACCATGTATTGTTTATTACATTTAGAGATACAATGTGTATAATAGTAACACCACAATAAGGGGAAAATGGAATAGAACTATGTAAAGATAACATTTCTCTGTCAGTAGAGTTAAACTAATATAAATCTGAAGTTCATTCTGATAAGGTATGATAAATGTAGTAAACCCTAGGGCAATTGCTAAAAAATAAATTTTAAAATATAGAGAAAAAATTTTTAATGAAATTAAAATCTACATTAGAAAATATTGACTTAATGTAAAATAAAAGAGAAAAAGAGAAACAAAAAGATGTGAGACAGCAAAAATATTAAAATGGCAGATGTAAATCTAACTGTATAAAAAAATAAATGTAAATGGGTCAAACAATACAATCAAAAGACAGAGATTATTAGACTGAATTTAAAAATATGACCCAACTCTATGCTGTTGACAAGACACATACTTTTCTATTTATATAAAAGATACAAATAGATTGAAAGTAAAGTAGATCAGGCCATTGCTAAATCATTCCTTAGGGCTACCTTTAGAATCAAAGCTCATTCATTACTATGCTTCTGTGTGTGCAGGTATATTCTCAGTGTTGTAGAAAATATAAGGATAAATAGTCAATATTTATATCTAAAAAAGCTTATGGTATATAGATAACTGAAAAATTAACCTAATAGTTCTACTGAAAATAGAATCAGATTAGTACCCTAAATTTAAAAGAGATGGATTCAGAAGAGGGAGAATTAGAAAGATTAGGAAAGGATGCTGAAGGAGGTGGCACTTAAGAGGGGGATAGAATTATGATGTGTACATATGAAGAGCACTCAAAGGATAAGAAAGGACACAAACATGTAGAATTTATAGTTGTTGAGCCCACCAAAGACTCTGAAGATGTTCTGGCAGAAAAGTTATTCTACTTTTATCGGTCCTTTAGGAATATCAATCTACATGAAAATATACTAAAAAGAAAATCATGTTCTGTTTCATTTTATGTACATAGTTAAAGTAAGAGAAAGGCACCCTGCAACAAGATTGAAGTGTCTTTTGTTTATTTTTATTTTTGTCCCCCTCTGAGAGTGCCACCTCTTTAAATTTTTACGTCTTTGTAGAGAGGTTGGTGATACCTAGGTGGGCTCCTGCCTAACTTAGAAATTAGAAATTGCCAATGTAATTACATATTTTGACTTTAACCATCTTTCTTTTAAGAACTAGCATGGCTTTAACCATCTTTCTTTTAACAACTAGCATATATATATATATATATATATATAGTATTTGTATATATATATATAGTATTTGTATATATATATATAGTATTTGTATATATATAGTATTTGTGTATATATATAGTATTTGTGTATATATATAGTATTTGTGTATATATATATAGTATTTATATATATATATATACACACACACACACGCACATACACACAGGTTTGGGTGTAATGGCTCATGCTTGTAATCACAGCACTTTGGGAGGCCAAGCTGGGTGGATCACTTGAGGTCAGTCAGGAGTTCGAGACCAGCCTGGCCAACATGATGAAACCCTGTCTCTACTGAAAATACAAAAAAAAATAGCCTGGTGTGGTGAGAGGCATCTATAGTCTCAGCTCCTTGGGAGGCAGAGGCAGGAGAATTGCTTGAACCTGGGAGGCGGAGGTTGCAGTGAGCTGGTGTCGTGCCACTGTACTCCAGCTCCAGCCTAGGTGACAGAGTGAAATTCCGTCTTAAAAAAAAAAAAGCATATACAGGAGAGGAGTGGTTTAGGTTAATAATAATTCTGTGTATAGCACACAAAAAATACCTAGCATAAAAATTTTCTACTTTTCTAATAAACGAAATAAGTATTTTTCCATTGCAAAGTAACCTACTGACTCATATCCTTAAAAAGAAAATTTTCACTTTAAAAATGATGATTCCATGCTCTCAAAACCTGATTCATGCAGTAAGTTTTAAGGACATTATCTATGGTATAAAGTGAGATTATCTTGCATTTTTCTCCTTAGAAATACGTGCTTTAATACTTACAGGCATTCACTGGTCAGCAACTTATTTTTCTTTACAGATAGTAAAAACCGATCAATATTAACAGTGCTAGAAAAAAGTTGACTTTTTGATAGATAAGTATACTATCTAGATCTAAAACTTCCCAGTTTTCCCTCTGGTTGTGGAGATGAAACACTCTGCCGCAGTGAAAGCATGTGTGAGACAGGTCAAAACATTGAGAAAGTTTAGTCTTCTGCTCCTTGCAGAGCGGGACAGTTCTTTTTCATGAGCCTCATGCCCTTCCTTTTTTGTAGCAGTTGTTTCTTTATGATTTGTTGTAACAACTCTTAAAAACTGGCTAATAGGGATAATACCACAAATTATTGCCTTAATGAAGAATTGGCAGTATTTGAAAGACTGAGATGCTTACAAAGAACAGATGGATCTTCCCATGAATTTTAGGTTCCTGATTTCAAAATTAGGATTATTGCCTTTGTTAGTAGTAGGCAAATTAGACATGCTCTGCTAATTGATGTGTTCACACTTTGAAGATTACTTTTTAATATTCTTTTTTTTTTTTTTTTTGAGATGGAGTCTCGCTCAGTCACCCAGGCTAGAGTGCAGTGGCATGATCTTGGCTCACTGCAACCTCCGCCTCCTGGGTTCAAGCGATTCTCCTGCCTCAGCCTCCTGAGTAGCTGAGATTGCAGGCACGCGCCACCACACCTGGCTAATTTTTGTATTTTTAGTAGAGATGGGGTTTCACCATGTTGGCCAGGCTGGTCTCGATCTCTTGACCTCTTGATCCGCCCGCCTCAGCCTCCCAAAGTGTTGGGATTATAGGCATGAACCACCGCGACCGGCGGTATTCTGTCTTAAAGGTATATATTCTGTGAGTCTTCCTATTACCCACAGTATCAAGTATTTTGGACGCTTTGAAAGAGTAAACTGATGGACTAATAATAAGGAGTAATTCAAGTGTAGTTTAAAATTATGAACAAAACCCTGCTCCATGTTCAAATCCTCACTCCATGTTTGTTAAGTCTGGGGGAGAGGGAGGGGGCCTGGGTCAAGGGAAATGAGAGAAGAAGTCCTGAAGCTGTACTTAGGATTGTTGCCTCCTCCTGCTGTCCCCTTTCCCTGGTCTGTTAGGAGACCATACTGGCTTCAACTGGAACAAGCTAGTCTTACAGGCTTACTTTCCTTCTAACACAACCTCCTCCAGTAGCCTTCAAGCTCTCATGCCAATACACTTCCTTTGATGAATACATGTCCAAGTGTCCAGGGCCCACACTGAATGACCAAGGTGATCTCACCTAAAAACAGGACAAGCAGAGAGGCTGGGCATGGTGACTCATGCCTGTAATCCCAGCACTTTGGGAGGCTGAGGCAGGCAGATAGCTTGAGCCCAGGAGTTCAAAGCAAGCCTGGGCAACATGGTGAGACCTCATCTCTACAAAACAAAACAAAAAAAAACAATGAAATAAATTAGCCAGGCCTGATGGCACGTGCCTATAGTCCCAACTACTCGGGAGACTAAGGTAGGAGGAATTGAGCCTGGGAGATCGAGGCTGCAGTGACCTGTAATTGATTGTGCTGCTGCACTCTAGCCTGAGTGGCAGGGTGATACCCTGTCTTAAAAATAAAAATAAAAAATAAAAAAAACCACAAAACATGAAAAACATAGACCAAGGTTGGCATATAACACACTTGCCTCTGAGAATTTCCCCACCTGAAAGAACCCCCAGTGAGACTCCTCTTAGAAGCCAGGCTTGATTTTCCTGGTTTCCTTTACAACCACTTCCATAGTGCTACTGCTCAGGGGCTTTACAAACCTCAACTCATGCCACTCCAGCAACTCCAGAAGGTAGCCTTTTTTGGCAACTTGTCCTATTTTTTGTTGTTCTTGGGTTCCATTTTTTTTTTTTTTTTTTTGAGACGGAGTCTTGCTCTGTAGCTCAGGCAGGAGTACAGTGGCACGATCCCTGCTCACTGCAAGCTCTGCCTCCTGAGTTCACACCATTCTCCTGCCTCACTCAGCCTCCTGAGTAGCTGGGACTACAGGCGTCCGCCACCATGCCCGGCTAATTTTTTTGTATTTTCAGTAGAGACAGGGTTTCACCATGTTAGCCAGGATGGTCTCAATCTCCTGATCTCGTGATCCACCCGCCTTGGCCTCCCAAAGTGCTGGGATTACAGGCGTGAGCCACTGCGCCTGGCCTCTTGGGTTCAATTTTTTAATCTAGAAGTTTATATAATTAATTCAAAAACAATTCCATGAGCAGTTAGAAACGTTTTCTTATTTCTTGTGATGGAATGACTGACCAAAGACTTGATTATGTGGTAACATGGCATTGGATTCCTTGGCATCTCCAGGCTCACTCCATTTATTTTATGTGATTCACATAGAAACACTTAAAAGGAGCAAGGCGTTGTTAATTGATTGTTTCCTACAGATTAGGGCACACGAGCTCTGAGAGTTCAAGTGGTTCCTTCATGTCGCTCTGTTTTTATCATAAGCAGTGAGAAGATAGCATATGCTCATCTGTACATCGTTTCAGAATTAATTTTGAGATAAAAATAAGTGTTCATTAGTTGTTTTAACCAGGACCAAAAATGTATTTTTAAATGTCAGCTATCTTCTCCTTCACAGGACGCTTATTTTTTTCTTTAAAGAAATTTCAAATTTACCTCAGAGTATTTAGGGCAGCTGTAGGTGGGCCTCTTGCTTCTATTTTTTACTGGTGCACATTATCACCTGTGAAAGCAAGCAGAAAATATAGAACACCGAAATGGAGCAAAATGAGTGACAGACACTGAACAATTCTTGTACAACATGGGGATATTTTTGCTGCCGACTTTTAAAACAGTATTTTTCCTCCAGGTAAAATGAAGGGCATTCTCCCAAGGCACCGTAAACACTTTGGAAAACAAAAAGAGAAAAAAAAGGAAATGCAATTGCCTTCCTTTCAACTCCTTGGCCTGCGAGGAATGTCTCAGCACGTCATCACTGTAACACTTTTATTTTCAGATTCTGAGTCAGATTCTGAGATCAGCACCAAAGCATACTTGCACATCATAAATAAAGAGCTCCCTGTCTCTTCAGTGCCTCGTATATGCCCAGCAAAGTTCCAGATGCCTTAGACACACATCTCAATGGTACAGTATCTACTTTGCAAAACAGGAAAAGGAAAGGAAGCTTACAGAAGTTCCTCTACATCTTTAAGGACAGACAGCTAGGAAGCATTGATTTACTTAATTTCATAATGTTAATGCTAATGAACATACTTCACTATGTTTCCATGTTATAGCTGAGGAATCCATGTCAGGGAATTCAAGTGGCTTTTTAAATGCTCCCATTTGAAGCAAAGGCAGAGTCAACCAATGCATTGTGTCCTGCTGCTGCAAGAGGGGCTCTTTGAAGCTTTGCTACTCAGAAAGTGGTCCAGACTGGCAGCGCGGCCATCACCTGAGACTGTGTCACAAATGCAATGTACCGCCCCACTTGCTGAATCAGACTGTGCATTTTAACAGCCTCCTCCCCACCGAATGACTCCTGTCATTAACGCTTGAGAGGCACTGCATTAATGCTTGAGAAGCACTGCATTCATCACTCTGCCCCACTCAAATAGACAACTTGGAAACACATTGAATATTTCAGTGTTTTTAAGGCAGCTGATGACTGTTTTCAGCAGGAGCCACCTGCATTTTCCAAAAACCACCTGGGATTGATAGAGGGCCCTTCTCTGAATCCCTGGCCACAGTCCTGCCTGCTTCAATCCTCAATCTTGACACCAGTCACCCCACATAGGGAATCTGTGGGTCCAAGCAGGAATGAATGGCTAAGTTTTCTTTCTAATTTAACCTACCCACGTGAAACAGCACTAACCTTTATATGCTATTGCTGGTTCCACTGTGGAGAAGCTGATCATTCACTCTTCCAGGAGAAGCTCCCAAAAGGCTCTTGAGTTACAAGGGAATCTGTTGTCTCCTAGATCCAGATGAATGAGCCTGCCTGCCACTTCTTCCTTTGTGCTGAGCACCTGGGAATTTGCTGAACGGTGTGTTTACTGGAAGGCTTCATTATTTTGATCCCATTATCTCTACATATGCTTGTTATCTTCTGGATAAAACCTGATTGCAAGCCTGTCTTCTGTGTTTGCTCTTTTTCCTGTCATTTTCTGAAATGTATATGTAATATAATGTGCAAGTAGGAGTGAGCGTGCCCCTCCGCCCCCGATTTTGGGGTCAAAATGATGGAGAAGCCTTTGTGCTATGTGTGGGAATGCTAACGGGTATCTTCATAGGGAACCTGCAGCAAAAAGTAGCATGTGAACGTTGGTCTTGTGCACAGTGGAGATCAGATTACAATATTTTACAGCTTGGGAGGATTTTTAGACATTTGTCATAACCACTTTTGGTAGTCTTTCCTAATTATGGCAATGGAAACATAGTGCCATTTACAATTCTGTATGGTAGAGAGCTTTTCTTTTTATGCTTGGTAACACAGAAATAACTTGGGGCTGGTCCTTTTAAGAAATATCCAAGATTCAATTAGGAAACAATATTTAGTTGGTGCCCACTATGCACCAGGCAATGTATATGATTCTAGAATTCAGCAACGAACAAGACAGACAAAACACCCTGCCCTGGTCAAGCTTCTATCATTGCACCTCCAGGGAACAGGAGAAAAGATGATATTTGCTGTTTTCAATAGTGGCTGAACTGGAAAATAATATGAAAAGCTTTTCAACTTACAGAAGACTGGGCATCACTCCACAGCAATTAAATCTATATCTCTATGACTGGTACCCAGACATCAGTATTAAAAAAAAAAAGCACAAAAATAAAAAACTCCCTGTATGTCAAATGTGTCACCAGGGTTGAGAACCATCAGGCTATGTAATATGTGGGGATCCTTAACAGACCTAGAATTTTAGGAGGAAGAGCATACTGAGTAGAGTTTGTGAGCATTGAAATGAGGGTTTCATGTTCTCATGTGGTAATATTTTCATCATAAATTAAGAACTTGTAGAGCAATGGAAAAAATAAATCCAGTCTTCATCACGCTAACTGTTGAGAAATGGCTTTAGTATAATTTTATGTAGACTCTGAAATTCCTTATCACTGGATTCCATCTGGCAACTTGGATTTTGAGAAGTACTTCCTTCAGTGGAAGCTATGTTTGCCTGGAAAAAAAGATGTTGTGTTAATGTAATTAAGAATCAGCTTCCAGCTCCATCTATGTCCCTGCAAAGGACATAATCTCATTCCTTTTTGTGGCTGCATAGTATTCCATTGTGTATATGTGCCATATTTTCTTTATCCAGTCTATCATCGATGGGCATTTGGGTTAACTCCATGTCTTTGCTATTGTGAATAGTGCTGCAGTGAGCATACATGTGCATGTATCTTTGTAATAGAATGATTTATATTCCTTTGGGTATATATACAGTAATGGGATTGCAGGGTCTAATAGTTCTAGACCCTTGCAGAGTCACCACACCATCTTCCACCATGGTTGAACTAATTTATATTCCCACCAACAGTGTAAAATTGTTCCTATTTCTCTACAACCTCGCCAGCATCTGTTGTTTCTTGACTTTTTAATAATAACCATTCTGACTAGCGTGATATGGTATCTCATTGTGATTTTGATTTGTATTTATCTAAAGATCAGTGACTTTGAGCTTTTTTTCATGTTTGTTGGCCGCCTCAGCAAACTAATGCAGGAACTGAAAACAAAACACCACTTGTTCTCACTTGTAAATGGGAGCTGAACATTGAGAACACACAGACACAGGAAGGGGAACCATACACACTGGGGCCAGTTGGGAGGTGCGGTGAGGGGAGACGGAGCATTAGGAAAAATAGTTAATGCATGCTAGGCTGAATGCCTAGGTGATGGGTTGATGGGTACAGCAAATCACCGTGGCACACACTTACCTATGTAACAAACCTGCACATCCTGCAAATGTACCCCAGAACTTAAAATAAAAATAGAAATCAAAAAAAAGAAAAAGCATACAAAAACATACATTGGGAAAAGGACACTCTATTTAATAAACCAACAACCATGTAAAGACAAACCACGTGTCCCCCAAAATTATTGAAATTTTAAAAATAAATTGAAAAAAAAAACAGAATCAGTGAGCAGATCCATGGGCAAAATGACAGTTTTAACAATCTGCCACAACTGGACAATAGAGAGGAAAGAGTAGGGGAAGTTGAAAAGTAAATTAAAAGAGAAGTAGAGAAAAAGGAAAAGAGAGCTTGAAAAGTATAACAGAAGGTTGAAGACGGGGGAAAGATACAACAGAGAGCAGATGATGCCTAGCCTCAGTGTGGACCCAGACACTGCAGCCATGGGCTTCAGTGCCTGAAGGAGCAGGGGGCCCAGGACTCTGCATCCAGATCCTTTTTCCCCATGCAGCTGTGGCTTCTGTCTACTTCCTCCTTCCTGGTGCTCTGGGGAAGACAGGACTTCCTGAGTTCTGGGCTCATGCCTTTCAAGCAGAGTCAAGCGAGTCAGGCTCAATCTGTAACCAAAGCCAAATGGCTTCATTTTTGGGAAGTGCCATGAAACCTGAGCAAAGGGGACAGCTATTTTGAGACTGCTATGGCTTTAGAGATAAGGCTAATTTGTGTCAGTAGAAAGACTCCCGGGAGAGAAGGGAGGAGGAAGGGAGGAACGACACCGTTGATGCTTTGGGGCAAATCTCAGAGGAGGCAGAAAATAAACCCTTAGGAGAACCTTTTGGGACTGTAGATTTCAAACCCCCATTGCACTCAAACATTTAAGTCTCCCACCAAGAGAGACACAATCTGTACTCATTGTGTTCAGCTCTGAATAAAACTAACACAATTAAGCTCCTGGATTCCTGCCTGCTCTGGGCACTTACAACCACAGAATCTCAAAGTGATCTCAAGAAGTCACTTGCTGCAAGTATGTGAATCAGAAAGAGCACCGGTTTGGGGGACACTGTAGAGCAGAAAGCCCCTACAGGGCCAGGACTTAGGGCAGCTGAATTGTGAAGCGCTTAAAGATGGATTCAAGGCCCAAGCTGCCTCTCAGCATTATATTAACATCTTCAAATGCTCATCTATAGCTCAGAGATCTAGTCCAGTATTGTTTCTATACTATCATTTCGAATCTCTGAGTTAAATTTTCCACTCAGTAAAACAAGAGTGTCAAACCAAATGCCCCTTAGAGACTCCTGGTCTCTCAGCAGTTCTTCAGTGTGAGTTAATAGAATGGTACTTTACACATTCCTTTCTTGCATGAAACCCTTACTATAAATACCTAAGTTATAACAAGACAGGGCTGAGGTTCTGAAGAGACAAGAGGGAGTATGTGTTTCCTAACTTCCTGCAGGTTCCTAAACAACCATTTTCCCTCTGATTTTTATCTCTACTAACCTTCCTGGCATCTTCTATCTTGTCATTAATTTGCACCTGCTTTCTATGTCACACGAGCACTTTTAAATAAGTGTATGTCTCCGGGACTCCATTTCTCCTTTTTCTGTTTCATGTAATCTTCTGGCATCTTCAAATTTTTTCTTTGCACAATTTAATTTTTTAATATAACTCTTCACAGTACTAGGTGGGTAAAAGTCCCTCCAAAAAAGTTGCTTTCTTTAATTTCTCTCCTCTGCAACCCTATTATTTAATTCAATGATTAATTAAACATGCACTATGTGCTAGAGACAGGGTTTAAATTGGTGGACACATCAGACATAATCCCCGTCTTCCCAGGGTTGACAATCAGAAGAGGAAGATCTATAGAACATTCACAAGTCCTCTAAAGAGAATGAACAACATAGAAGATAAGAAATGAGTGGCCTGGTGGGCATGGCCAAGGGAGTCATTTCTGAGTATGTGGTCCATAAGCAGATACTGAAAGGACCTACAGGAGCCAGCTTTGTAAAGGCAAATAGCAGCTCATTGAGTGTAGCTGCATCAGGCTAAGTGAAAGCTCTGAGACACAAAAGATAAGTTTCTGCCAAAAATGTGTTTAGTGACAGGGAAATTAGAGGAGGAGGGACATGAAGAAACGTCAGCCTCTCTCCTGGAACTTTGTATTTACATCTACACCAAAGCTGGTGGAGTCACATATTGACTTACAGCCCTGACCCTCACCCCCTGCCCAGGTTCACAGCCCACGTCTTCATGTGGGTGCTTCACACACAACTAAAATCATCCTACTTAAATGCAGATCCACTGTCTTCCCCCAATGAGCCAAGTCTCCCTCCAGTGTTCTCTTGCCTAGAAAAGAAAACTGTACCAAAAAAACTCGCAAAAAAAAATTGTGTCTTTAATATTATAACCACAGTAAATGCTGAGACTCCTTGTGACCCAGTCTATGCAAATAATTGCACAGAAAGAAGCACAGTAGAGGAATATGAAAACAATAAAATGGCATTTATGCTAACCTCCAGCTGAATCTCTTAGAGAAAAGTGAAAGGAATTTCATACTACAACTACCTTCCTTAAATCATATATCTCTTTCTCAAATTTATCCACCCTGGTCTTCCACAGCTCAACCCATATCTGTGTATTTTTTCAAGATATTTTTCTTCCTCTATGAACACCTGCCTCCTTTCTTCAGGCCTTTTTGGCATAGAAAATTTTGCTGCTTTTTTTTTTTTTTTTTTTTTTTTTGAGATGCAGTCTCGCTCTGTCGCCCAGGCTGGAGTGCAGTGGCTCGATCTCAGCTCATGCAAGCTCCGCCTCCCAGGTTCATGACATTCCATTCTCCTGCCTCAGCCTCCCGAGTAGCTGGGACTACAGGCGCCCGCCACCATGCCCGGCTAATGTTTTGTACTTTTTAGTAGAGACAGGATTTCACCATGTTAGCCAGGATGGTCTCGACTTCCTGACCTCGTGATCCACTCGCCTCGGCTTCCCAAAGTGCTGGGATTACAGGCGTGAGCCACCGCGCCCGGCTGAAAATTTTGCTTTTTTAATGCCTTCACTCCATAGTCCTTTCTCCTGTCTTCTCTAAATTATAAAGTATAAGTAATCTGGGAACAAAACAAGCAACAACTTTTCATTATTTGAGTGAGGAGACCTCATACATAAACACATTTGCCCAATTTACAGATTCTTTAAGCATTGCAAATTAAGATGAGTATTTGCTTGGCCAGGTATAAGTTGTTTTTGTATTTTTTTAAGTGGAATTAGCTAAAATTCCAAATGGGTAAAGAATAAAACACATCACACATGTTGACTCTGATATTCCCCTAAGATTTCTACAATACCCTTTTCTTATTGTTTAACCACCTTGTTTCCTTAGTCTGAGTTTACATCATCTGTTTACATCTCACGTAAACAGCTGGGTGCAAATTTCTGGTTATTTTTCTCCTAACAAAACTGCATAAATCTTAATAGAGATTTCTTCAGAGATTCATTTTCTCTTGCAGTAGAGGTGTGGATACAATCAATAAACGTGTCTTTACTTGTTTTATTTGTCTTTCATTTTATTGTTTCTGTTAAGTGTAACCAGTGTAAGTGGAAATCAGGACAACTTTTTCCTAACGTTTGGCCCAAGCCCACTATAAAATTACTCTCCTATAGCAGGTCATTTAAGAAAACAGCAGGCAGAGACAAAAAAATCAGTGGATAATTGCTTTCAGCTTAGTGACTCACCACCCAGGAAGTGCTCTTTGTTATTTATATTTTAATTTTTGATTTCTCAAGCTGGCCTAAGTGCTTAGAGGTGAGCATAAGAAATCTGGTTGTATGCAGTGTGTGTTGTTTGAAGCCATCTGTTTGTATGGGATAAAAGATAACTCTCCGGGTATCACTTTCATCACTGTTGATGGGCAGGATAGCAGTTATTTTCCCCAGTCATCTCCTCTCATTGCATTTTCCATCAGTTCCCCCATTCAACGGATGATCCAATTAATGTCAGGGACAGAGAGTTTGACAGCTTGCCAACACAGGTGTGCTGCAACTGCTCTTCTTCAATTTTTATTTTTCCTTCTATCTGAACAAAGACGGAGACTGCATTTTCAATCATAGAGCAAAGAATCTGCCAGAATATTTGTGATTTCTTTTTTGGAAAAATAAAGCTTGGGAAGCCTAACAAAGAAAAGCAATTTATTTTGTAAGGCAAATATTGATTCACTGCTTTATTATCATACCTAAGATTATAATTACATGCTAGTTAATTTCATGATAAATGTGTACTGAGTGCACATTCTTTTTTGGCAAATGTAAATTGTACCAAGTTTCAAAGATAATTAACACTGACTTCAAAGGGCTCATTGGCCAGCCGTAAAGACAGAATTCTATAAATAGCACATAAACTAGCATAAGTGAAAACATAAAAATCACAACATTGGTACTATAGTAAAATGTGTACCATGTGCTATGAAGGCAAGGTGGGGGAAGCCATCTATTTTATGCAAGGTCATAAGAAGTCTGCTCAGTCAAGGTGACCCTCAGCTTGCCTGTGGAGAAGAAGTGTACAGGCAGGGAATCAAGCAAGGGAGATAGAAAAAAAAACAGTTTGGGCAGCATTCAGAGACATAAAAGCGCACACCGATCCTAGGCAGGGCTCACTAATTGAATTTAAGGCTCAGAAGGAGTGGAAGATATGACTATGAACTAGGTATGATCTATAGTGTCTAGTTGCGATTGTTCTAAACCACATCAATGAATTTGGATTTTATTTTTGAAGGCAATGGAGTGTGACCAGTGGTTTTGAAACACTGTATCTGGAGCATTCTGGTTTAATAGGAAAGTGAATGCAAACCAAACGAGATGTAGTCATAGATGTTTGCGCACATAGAGCTCAATAATGTGAGATATTAAAGAAGACAAGCAGTTATTTTACAAACATATATTAAGGACCTCCTCTGTGGTAGATGGTAGGAATAATGAATTAACAAGGTCATCTCCTTTAGGTAGCTTACAGCCCAGTAGAGAAAGCTAGACGTGTACACATGAGGATAAATTACTCTTTGGACTTCCAAGAAAATGCTGAAAACAGAGCCACTTATTTCTATGGAGCATCTGGGAAATGTAATAGAGGAGATAAATCTGAATGTTCCAGATCAAGTAGGAGTTTTCAAAGTAAAGGCGTGGAGGTGGTACATGGGGAATAAGAAGTTAATTGTCCAGCCAGAATGGACAAAATGAAAAAATTAAGCCCAAGTGTTTTTCTGGAAAAATAAGAGTGAACCATGACACCCTTAGCCAAGATAGGGAAGCACAGATTTGGAATGAGGAAAGAAGTGTGCTGTGTTCCATTTGGAGCACATGAAAGTTGGAATGACAAAAGCCATTCAAACAGCACTATCTATCAGGTAGCTGAAAAGGAGGGTCTGGAGCTCAGGAGAAAGATGCATATGAAGATGTTGATTTGGGGGTCAGCATCCTGTCAGTGGTAAAGTCCTGGGAAAATATGGGATCAAATAAGGCAGGTAAGTACACTAAAAACAGAAGAGAATGCCAGGAAAAAGCAGAAGTCACAGAGGGAAACCAGGAAGAAATCAGTGAAGAGGAGGAAAGGCATGAGAGAGGCAGGCTGCAAAGCCAAAGGAGGGGAGTTTGTGACTAGGTGAAGACTGATTTGCAATGGGTCACAGGCCACACTAGAAAAATTACTTCCATGAGATTCTCAGTGGAGTATATCAGATTTTAATTGCAATTTTATTTTATTTATTTTTTATTTATATATATATATTTATTATACTTCAAGTTCTAGGGTACATGTGCACAACGTGCAGGTTTGTTACATATGTATACATGTGCCATGTTGGTGTGCTGCACCCATTAACTCATCATTTACATTAGGTATATCTCCTAATGCTATCCCTCCCTCCTCCCCCCCACCCCACAACAGGCCCTGGTGTGTGATGTTCCCCTTCCTGTGTTCAAGTGTTCTTATTGTTCAATTCCCACCTATGATTGACAACATGCGGTGTTTGGTTTTTTTGTCCTTGCAATAGTTTGCTGAAAATGATGGTTTCCAGCTTCATCCATGTCCCTACAAAGGACATGAACTCATCATTTTTTATGGATGCATAGTATTCCATGATGTATATGTGCCACATTTTCTTAATCCGGTCTATCATTGTTAGACATTTGGGTTGGTTCCAAGTCTTTGCTAATTGTGAGTAGTGCTGCAATAAACATACGTGTGCATGTGTCTTTATAGCAGCATGATTTATATTTCTTTGGGTATATACTCAGTAATGGGATGGCTGGGTCAAATGGTATTTCTAGTCCCAGATCCCTGAGGAATCGCCACACTGTCTTTCACAATGGTTGAACTAGTTTACAGTCCCACCAACAGTGTAAAAGTGTTCCTATTTCTCCACATCCTTTCCAGCACCTGTTGTTTCCTGACTTTTTAATGATCACCATTCTAACTGGTGTGAGATAGTATCTCATTGTGGTTTTGATTTGCGTTTCTCTGATGGCCAGTGATGATGAGCATTTTTTCATGTGTCTGTTGGCTGCATAAATGTCTTCTTTTGAGAAGTTTCTATTCATATCCTTTGCCCACTTTTTAATGGGTCTGTTTTTTTTTTCTTGTAAATTTGTTTGAGTTCTTTGTAGATTCTGGATATTAGCCCTTTGTCAGATGAGTAGATTGCAAAAATTTTCTCCCATTCTGTAGGTTGCCTGTTCACTCTGATGGTAGTTTCTTTGCAATTTTAATTAAGAAAATAAATTTTAAGAAAGTGGAAATACAACATACAGTAATGTTTCAAAAAGTTTGTTGGTGAAGAAAAGATAAATAAAGGTAATTATTTAAGGGGGTATATTTTAAAGAAGAAATTTTAGGTGGGGACACTGGAATATACTCTGAAGAATGGTAGAAGTGGGTAAAACCCAAGGACTGAACAGTAAGCAGGAAAAAAAAGCAATGAAAGAGTAGGGGTGCTAGAGGCCATGCTGGACATTGACTCATCACAGGAAGCATCGGCCTCAGTCTCTTTTCTGAGACAGTTTGGAAAGGACACTCCTGCATGAGTCAAACTCTGAAGAACAAACAGGAACCTGCAGAAGTTAACAGCCAACAGCTCCGTTTTCTCTGTAACGTGAAAGAAGGTGATCTTATAAAAATGAAAAGGCTAGACTAAAAGAGTGAGTTGAAGGAGAATACTGATAGTTTGAAACAGTCCCTGAGGTGTATGATCAGAAGCAGACTAGAGCAGGAGAAAAGTAAAGAAACCAAGTCAGGCAACAAACCAATCACCCAAACAAACAGCATTAGTGAGACATTTACTTAGGTGTTGATAAGGAGCACAATCTCTGACATTATACAGCTCAGCTTCAACCTCTGATCTGGCCCTAAGTTATTAGATGTGTGACTCTCGGCAAGTATAATAACATATTCTCTCTAAGTTTCCTCATAAGAAAATTGAGCATAATGATGAGATGATATGGTTAGGCTGCATCCCCACCCAAATCTCATCTTGAATTGTAGCTCCCACAATTCCCACGTGTTGTGGGAGGTAATTGAATCATAGCGGTGTGTCTTTCTCATGCTGTTCTCATGATAGTGAATAAGTCACACAAGATCTGATGGTTTTGTAAGGGGGAGTTCCCCTACACAAGCTCTCTTGACTGCTACCATCCATATAAGACATGACTTTGCTCCCTTTTGCCTTCCACCATGATTGTGAGGCCTCCCCAGCCATGTGTAACTATGAGTTAATTAAACCTCTTTCCTTTATAAATTACCCAGTCTTGGGTATGTCTTTATCAGCAGCGTAAAAACGGACTAATACATGAGATAATATTTGTAATTCTCTAGAATAGGATCAGTCTTTTAAAATTATCATCTCTTCATTTTAGGACTTATGAGACAGATGGAGACCTTGAAGAGTAGTCAGAAGACAACAGTGAGAAAGAGGAATTAATGACTGACCACATAAGAAGAGTTAGGGACTACCTTAGTGGAAGTCTTCTGACAGACATATATGCAATGACTTTTTCTCCTATGCTGTAGAAAGGGTGCTATGTATAAGCAAACATTTTTCATCATTAGTTAAAAAGCAGTGATAAAACTTAATAACAGTAATAAATATTAGTGTTAGATATAAAGAAAAGAACTTCCTGAGAGCAAAAGTATATACCACAAAACCTATAAAATGAATAAGATTTTATGCATTGGGAATGGAGAATTGGCAAAGTTGGAAAAGGGCTACAACTTTTATACATGTCCTTGAAGAGTTAACTGAATCATGAAGAGAGCAACAGAGGGATAGCTTGAGGAAGAATGACTCATTGAAGAGGAATTGCTTCATTCTGATCAACTTTTCTGGAGCTTGATATACATTTGAATGAGTATATTTATATTTGCTTCAGAAGGTAAAAGTTGTAGGTATGGTACTGGCCTGAAAAGGGCTAATGTGGCTTCCTTCACTACATTCTATAAAATATTTCTATCCCGGAAATCACTCATTGTGATGGTTAATATTGACTGTCAACTTGATTGGATTGAAGGATGCAAAGTATCGTTTCTGGGTGCATCTGTGAGGGTATTGCCAAGGGAGATTAACATTTGAGTAAGTGGACTGGGAGAGGCAGACCCACCCTCAGTCTGGGTGGGCAGCATCTAATCAGGTGCCAGCATAGAAGCAGGCATGGAAAGAGCAGACTGGCCTGAGTCTTCCGGCCTCCATCTTTCTCCAGTGATGGATGTTTCCTGCCCTTGAACATCGGACTCCAAATTCTTCAGCATTTGGACTCCTGGACTTACACCAGTGGTTTGCCAGGGGCTGTCAGACCTTTGACCACAGACTAAAGGCTGCACTGTCAGCTTCCCTACTTTCGAGGTTTTGAGACTCAGACTGGTTTCCTTGCTCCTCAGGTTGCAGGCAGCCTATCGTGGGACTTCAACTATTGATCATGTGATTCAATACTCCTTAATAAACTCCCCTTTACATATACATCTAACTCATTAGTTCTGTCCCTCTAGAGAACCCGGACTAATACACTCATCAAATGAATATCCCCCACTTCCTTACCAAAGCCGACATTTGTCATAACCTCCACCATTTAAGGATGTTAAATAACTCAATAACAAAGAGCTAGTATTACCATCTTCTACAGATACTGTGAAATTGATCCATTTCTGAGAAATATGTTTCTCCAGTTTTTCTGGAATAATACCTCAAGTTCTAAATGATATAATAAATCATCAATAGTGACGTGAGAAGGTAAAAGTAGATGTCCACAAGCTTGAAGGCTCACATTGCAAACACTTACACCTTGAATCCCCTCTTTCCCACATCCAATATATTGACTAACTCTGTTGTCCCCATCTATTGAGCATGTCTAGAATGCTGCTACTTGTGTCAATGGCTCGTCTAAGCCACCATCCTGTTTTGTTGAGACCACTGCTTTCTAATGGTAGCTTTAACTGGTAGCTCTGCTTCTCTCCTTGTCCCTCTTCAAGTCTCAAGAAGACTGCCAGAGCAATCCTTTAGAAGCACTAAATGTGTTACATCTTTGCTCATAACACTCCTATGGCTTCCCTCAACTCTTGGGATTAAATCCAAGTTTCTTAGCCTGGCCTACAATTTTCCTGTAGGAGACAGCTGTTTGGTAGATCACATGGCTTCCTCCTTCTTGCCTCTGTAGCACATGATAGTCATTTTGCTATAGTGCTTGTGTTTTGATTTTCATTATGTGTTTCCATTTATGTTTGCTCTTGTATTATTTATGGAATTCAGCCTTCCTCAATGGTCAACAAGCTTCTTGAAGTCAGGAGATAGGTCTTAATAATCTTTGATCCTTGGTACAACATGTGTTTGCTAAAAAATAATAAGAATTTAGGAAATAGCACAGAGTCATGGCCTCCCTCCCTGTATTCAGGTCTTTGCTCTCCGGTCTCCATTTCAAAGGCCTTCCCTAGCCACGCATCCAAAGTGGCACTGCTCTCATTTTCTATCTCCTAGTCTGCTTATTTTTTCTTTTAAACATTTACCACTGTCAGCACTACGGTATGCATTTTAAAGTGTTGATTGTCTGTTCTCCTTCACTAGAATTCAAAATCCAGATATAAAGGAACTTGGGTTCTTTTTCAGTTGTTTGTCCTAACATAGTCCGTATCTTAAAATACTTCCTAGGGAATGGTTGGTGCTCAGAATATAGTTGTTGAATGAATAAGATATCTCCTCCCTTCAGAAGCTTTTTCACATTACTACCCTGGCCTTAAAATATTTAACAGTATATTGCAAGGACACTGACCACTCAGGTCAGACAAATGACCCATCAGAAAGGATTTTGTTCTGTTTGTCATATTAGACAAAAGGAATACTCTTCTTGCTGGTGCTGGAAGCAATGCTTCCCTACCCTCAGGCTCATAATACCTCCTTTGCATCACTGTATCATATGATTGTGGTTATAAATCTGCATGCCAATCACTCAACTTGATTGTAAATTCCTGGGAGACAAGAAATGCCTTCTTCATATCACTTCTGCCATTTTAAATAGTTACTCAAAACAATTTCTCCATAAATATTTACTGAATGCATGGATGGGTTAATTAATGAATAAAGCACTACCAAATACCATGAAGCTGCATTATTTTTTTGTGTGTACTTACCACAGTATGTTTGTAAATGCACAGTGTAAAATCAGTACTTCAATAAATCTAAGGTTTGATTATATGATGATTCATTTGAAGTGGTTTCCACCGTCATTCACCTTGGGTAAGGAAATATCAAAATGCTTTCATTGTCCTTGAGAGTATGTTTGGAGAGATGAGCTATTTAATGTCTGATTGTGCAAGAAAAAAAAGTTACCAATTTTCTCCAAGTACCTGTGATTTGCCAAATAGAATGTAAGAAACAATATCCTTGGTAAAGGATATCGTTACATAAGAAATTAAATTATCTTCCTGATGTATATCAATATTGTCTCTTTTACCCCTTTCTTTCAAATGTTTGATGTTGAGTTCAATTTTGTCAACAAATGATACCTATTACCCTGAGAAGGAGTTAATAATATGCTAAATAACTCAAAGCCATCCTTCTAGAGATAGATGGGGGGTTTTATTGGAGCCGTCTGTAGCAAGAAACTTTTCATAGGGAGAAATATATTGACAGATTGGAATTTGAACTTGTTTATGGTGACTCCTGTAAGAGGAGGAATCAATAGCACTGCTCCATTTTCCCCTGAGTGTTAAAACCTGAATGAAAAAACAGCAACAGAAAATAATCTCAAAATTTCTGTAATATCCTATCTTAATGACTGGATGCTGCCATTAATGGTTTTCATCGCATGAAGAAGTAAACACAATAATTGCATCTTATATGAATAGCTAACCAACATCAGAACAGCACAGTCATTATCTAAATGCATTTTACATCGACTTGCCAAAAGATCCTCAATGACTGTAAGGATCATGAATTCTAATTCAGTTAAAATCCAAGGTAATAAACAAAAGCTCTGTGGGTGGTCACATGCCTGCTGCAGGGTGCATTTGAGAGTCTAGAGAAGAAATGGAATTAGGGATTTTTGAGATACAGATGAAAATGTCGACTCAAAGCAATGTAATAAAATCCTTACACCTTGGTGTAATGTTAGTTTGAAGCCAGTGGTATTGAAACGGCTTGGTAGTTTTTGGGTCTATAAAAGGGAAGGGCCTGAATAAAATTTTTTTCTCTTCAGTACTACTGAATATGTATTTTCAGTCTCTTCTAGATGAAAGTTAAGAGTTGATCATTTCTGCCTGGAAAACTCTTACTCATTTTCAAAATGAATTGGCCTTCTAGAGGACACCCAAAGCTCGGCTGTCTCTTTGGAAGAAAACTACAAATATGGTGACATGCTTCCCGATTCTGATGTTATTTAGTTCAGATAAATTTCTTGTTGTAATTAGTAACACCTTACACTTCTGGAACACTTTACATAATAAAGCATAATCACATACATTATTATGGTGGATTCCAGCTATCATCTCAGGTGTTGTTGTTTTATAATCCATTTAACATATGAGAAAAACGGGGGCATTGATGCTCCCTGTGTAAGATTGGAGACCTAGTATGTGTGAGACCAACATCTCATCAGAAACATTGGGGCCTAAAGAATCTATGAGATTTTCTGCCATCCTTGGTGAAATGTATTTGTTTTGCATGTGTATCAAGTAGCTCCAACCTGAAGCAACATGAAGAAGAAGCTGAGCTTGCCTTTCAAAGCCCTCTGCTAGTCCCTCTGCTTTAGTAGGCTACTAATTCAGCCAAAACGTGGGTGTTGAGAGCAAACCAATGGCCAGATTTTGGGTTAAAACACCTTGCGATTCTCTTTTAGACTATTCTCAACCAACGGGATTTTCAAATACCCATCCAGACCTCTCTCTAGGCCAGGTTTGTGCTAGGCAGTACGGAAAAAGTAAAAGCATAACAGCTGCCAAAACAGGCTTATGATCACTCCCTGGATTTATCATTTACTAGCTCCATGGTCATGGGCAACTTATTTAACATCTCTGAGCCACTAATTTCTGATTTGTAAAATGGAGATTAAAATGCCTGTATTACAAGGTTTTTTTGTGAAGATGAGAAAAGCATACAGCAAAACATGAAACCACAGCCTGCCCCTTTCTTCCTATGCTCTACCAGAGATATGCAAGCAGACTAATACCCAATCAAACATGGAATGCTGAGAAGAATCAAAAGGATGTCCTGCCTTTATTTTAGAAGGATATCTTGAAGTTGCCAAAGACTTGACTCAAAGGAATGAACTTTTAAACAGTCCTCTTCATAGAAATGGGGCCCAGATTACACCATGCATTCGTATAAAAAAATACATATTGTGCACCTACTGATGTCAGGCACTGGGCTAAAGGAGAAGAAGTTAGGTCCCTGACTTTGAAGAGCTCATTGCAGCAACTTAGCACTCATCCAATATGGAAGATGGTGAACAACTCTTCCCCAGCCTCACCACCTGATCTTCCCTCCTAAATCACCTTTCTAAAGTGCTTTCTGATGACTGTAAGTCTTCCTTTAAGGATCATCTGAGGATTTACTCTCCTCAAATATGATATAATAGGAGCTATGGGCAATAATATCATAATTTCTCCCTGTGCCCTAGAGCATGTTGCAATTTAATTATACTCATTAATTACCTCTGTATATCTTCTTCCATGTAGTGCTGTCATCTCCGCTCTCTTACAACCTCTATTTTCCCTACCTGGTATAGTACTAGCCCCCGCTGCAAGCATGCAGTTCTTGTATTAAATTAAATTGAAATCAGGCTACATGAAAATATGCAATATTTTGCTTTGAGTTGAGACATTTCTGGTAGTAACAGCTATTAAACATAGAGACTAATACTCAAATCAGGTCACACAATCCAGTCTCTTCAAAAAGAATTCATCTGCTAAGATGATTGAGGCATGGAGTCACACAATGACATTGAAAAAATGTAGATAAGTGTGCAATACTTTTTCTGTTTGTGTTCAGATTTGTTGTCCTTGGATTCTTTATTTGTTACTGCCTTAGCAGGAGTAAAACTTTTATCCTAGAAAACTCATCCCTTAACAATAGAGTTGCTTTTTAAAGGAAAATTTTCCAGTAAGTTATGAAACATATTAAATGAAGCTATTGTTTTAATAATGTACTCAATAGAATAATTGCTTATCCATAACTGTGAAAGGAGCAATTTTTCTAACAATGTCTTCCTATGCTGAGTCATCCTTCAAAAGACACCACGACCAAGATTTGTCCACTGTAAAGTCTGTTGTATTTGTTCTCACAAACAGCCTTCTGAAAAGCTGCTCTGCTGTAAATGGAGTTTGAAGAAAACGTTTAGACAGCTCTCTCCTACCCAGTGCATCTCCCCGCTTAATTAAGAGACCAAAATAGATACTGGAAAATAAATTATGAACTACTTTTCAAAAACTTTTCAGGAAAATACAATAACAGAAGTCCTTCCTAATTGTGTACTTGGTAGCCCAGGTGTCTCACTGATGAAGTTTTCTCATATTTTCACAGGCTCTTGCTAATGAGAACGTTGAGTCTTTCTTGACCCTTAACAACATTTTCTAGGCCTATGCTGTTCATTTTTTATAATCTAATAGATTAGAGAGAAGGTCCACCTTAAATGACATCACACAAAGTCAAGAGGAAATGGCGATTGTTGATGTCTGACCCTTTCGGTCTGTTTACATATGTGCCTGTATATAAATAGTGGATGTGTTAGAAGCAACTCTCAAATATTCCTTAAATGATATTTTCTTCCAATAAAATAAAAGATCTATGAAAATCATTTTTATTTCATTATTCCCAAGTATTTCACGGTAGTTTTAAGATTGTCTTCTTGAAAATGAGTTTGCCTTTGGTTAAATACTAGCTATGCTTATCATTCACTGCAGAAAGATATCCCAGCAAATGACCTAATGTGCAGTTGAATGACAAGCTACTACTAAGTGTTATAAACCAAGGGGGAAAAACTACCTTTTTTTTCCTGCAGTTTATTGTACTAGTTAATTTAGTATATCTGAAGTGCTAAAATCAGTTTGCCCGCTCTAATTTGCATTTTCCCAAAGATGCTCAATAACTCACTTTGATCCCAGGTTCACTATATCAATGCTCAGTAACTCACTTTGATCCTGGGTTCACTATATCAGACCATAGGAATCTCATAGAAGAATAGTGATGGACGAATGAAAGTACTGTATGAATCTGCCTTACATTTAACTTCACATTTTCCTCTATTCATTTTTCACTGTTACGTACTTCTGCTATTTACCCCACACAACTAGAAAAAGGTCAAGTTAGAAACCAACAGGAATTGAAGGCAGATACTCAAAGACTGAACATATTTTAAATGAACAGGATGAATTTGTCTTTTCTATGCTGAATCACATTCATAAGTCAGTTTGTAAAAAACAAAAAGATATCTGTTGTTTTTAAGTTCCAGGTGAGAAATAATTAAAGAACTAGCAAGAAAACAATTTTAAATCTGGGTTAGTGGGAAGGTGAAAGTGGTTCAAACAAAAATTATTTCTTGATGTAAATGTGGATTAAGGTTTAGTCTGGAAAAACATTCAAATTTGGTTTTAAGGTGATCAAAAATATTACAGGTTGCCTGGTAAAACACAGGATGATCAGTTAAAGTGATACATTTAGATAATTGTTTAATAGCAATATATTCCAAATACTGCACGGGACATACTTCTACTTCACTTTTATTTGATGTTTATTTGAAAATCAAATTTAACTGGGCATTCCAGTATTTTTATTTGGTAACTCTGGCAACTCTAATTAAGATATTGAAATTTGGGCAGAAAAGGAAAACAATTGGAAGCTGAATTCCAGGACTAAATTGTTTGCTGTGATCGCTCATTATTTGTTGAATGAACTAATATATTTCAAATATGCAGGAGAAGCTCTCAATTTGGAGGAATAATCAGTAGCATTTAAAGTATTCAGAACTCAGACTGGAGAAAAATTTTTTTTCCTAGTGGGACAACTTTTTAGTCTCTTGAAAGGGCTCCTCAAATAGCCTTGACTCCAGGGATTTCTAAAATAGGGACCACGCTCCTTTCCACTGGGGATGGTTCAAGAGTCACCTTGTCAAAAAGCAATGGATGATAAGCATTATAATAATCAGGAAATATATTAAAAAATAGGACTGAAAGAGGTGAGGGGTGAAATTCAAATGCTTCATGCTGAGTAGAAAAAAATGAAGACAGATTCTGCTAAAATAAATCAAGTTCAGTGAAGTAGGTAAGATGATCAACTACTGAAAGCAGCTTCAGTTTTAGATGCCTTTAGTCCCCACTGTCTCACTGAGGCTTAGGGGCTGAGCTGGTCAGAACAGAGACAAAGGAGGGCACCTGGATTACAGACCTGGAGGTCAGGAAGCACAATAGAAACGCTACAGGTCACAGGAAAAGCCAGCAAGGCATGGCGCAGGCTTACCAGCTCTGCGGACGTCAGAGTTGTGCGGTCCCTGGAGCATCTAAGTGCCAAATTAAAGAAGCTGTGTGATTCTGCTTTATTTTGAAGTTTAATGCCAGCTAGTTTGATCATAATTAAATGACAGTGGAGGATTTAACAAAAGGAGATATTCAGACACTGAGCTTGTCTTCTTTCCTCCTGTCTCTCTTCCTTCTGCTAGACCTCAGGAGGCATCACTGGTTTTTAAACAGGTATCTGGTGTTCTGCCATCCATGTAGAGAGCCGACCAAGGAAAATTATTTCTCTTTGTTTCTATTTCTACTCTTGAGGTTAGAGGTTTTCATCGCTATGGATTCTAGCAAGGAAACTATACCAAACAAAAAGCGCAAGATAGTGAAATCACATTATTAGCAGAATTCTTTACCATTAAAAATTAAAAATACCAGAGACCAAAATCAAACACTATGTAATAACACTTGGTGGACAGATGAATTGTTTTAGTGTTAGTTGAAAGGTTCTGGAGACAGTGAGATGTTTTATTCTGTCCTCCGTGCATTGCTGCTGCCCACATAATGTTAGTGGGAGTAAGTCACTGTCACAATTACTAGTCACCCACCTCTGATGGTACTGTACTGTGAAAAAGAATCCACTTAGCTGAGATTCCACAGCAATATATAAACTGGAATTTATAGGGAAGTTCTTTTGGAATCAGGATTAATAATAGCAATAATGATTATAATAGTGGTAATGATAGCTAGCATTTACTGAGTGCTGTTTATTGAAGTCTATCATTTAGTACCCTTGAAACGGGAAAGGTTCCCTTGTCCCCCTCGCAGGGCATGTGACAGGGAGAGTGGCTCACTTCTTCAGTGCCCCGCTGCTCAAACCTCTAGGGGAGCATACAGACAGGCAGGCTGTGGGGCTCTAACCACATGGCGGTGTCTAGGGGTGGATGTTTACAGCTCCTGAAGCCCCAGTGGGCGTGTGTTACATGGCACTCTTTTAGTTTAGCTGTTTATAGGTGGCTTGTGTTAACCAGCTCAATTAGACCCTCTACCTTGTCATAAGGACAGTGGGCTTTCTGTATCCTGGGTGCTTGCCTTCATGTACCAGAAGAATCAGATCACACGTGGCCTTAGAAAATGAGTGCAAGGTTTTATTGAGTGGAAGTAGCTCTCAGCAGATGGGGAAGCCAGAAGGGAGATGGGTTTCCCCTGGAGTCAGGCTGCTCGTTGACCTCGGCTATCCTCCAACTGCCCCAGCCAAACTCCATATAGTTCTGCTGGTTGATGGCCTGCTGGCGTCTGTCTGTGTGCTCTTCCACTGGCATGCTCCCCTCAATGTCCTCTTGATGTCCAGCCGCTTGTGTGTCTGCCTGCTAGGGTCTCGGGTTTTTACAGGCCCAGGATAGGGGCATGGCGGGCCAAGGTAGTCTTGGAAAATGCAACATTTGGGTGTGAAAGCAGAAGTGCCTGTCCTCATCTAGGTCTGTGGGCACTGGCCCGAGGGTGGAGTCTTAGCCAGGGACCCACCTTTCTCTACCCAGCACTTCCCTACCCCACTCTCATATCACTTTTATCAAATATTTATTTAAGTACATATTATTATTCCCATTGACTTATGAGAAAACTGAGGCTTAGAGCTATAAAGTGCTTCACCCGGGTTTACACCTTGGCCATCTGATTTTAGAGTGAATGATTGGACCCTCATGCCAGAAGGTGAAATGAATACTGAAGGACGCTTCAAACCCTTACGGCACTGTTTATACTGGTTTCATTAGTAAATATTTTCTAAGATTTGTAAAGTCAATAACTAGCTTCTGAAAGAAAAGAAACGACATTTAACTGATAACCATGACACATGCAAGAATAGGCTGGTTTAAAAACTTACTTTGTAGTTACTGAGGCTGCGTTTTGCTTTAAAAACAAACAAACAGAAAACCCTGTCATAACAAGCAGTGGCCTGCAGTTAGGCTGCACCACGAAGGCAATGGAGCAGAGTTAAAAAGCTCTGACCAACAGACAGCTAGCATCAGCATGAAAGCACAGTAAGCCCCACGTACTATGAATTTATAATGAGTAAAATAGAATCCTACTGTGGGACCCTACTTAACGGGTCTTCTCAGTACCCAGCAGGCCGGCAGCTGCTGCAGAACTGGTCTGCTTATTTTCTCATTTGTGGGCATGTAGAAGCTCACTGGCCCACTGGCAGCACAGCATGGGCCCCTCAAGTGTGGGGATGGCAGCCACCTGAACTTGTTTGGTAGAGATGCAATCAGAAATGTCACCTTTCCATATGCAGTTACCCCAAAGGAAAACAAACAAACAAACAAACACTTGGCCAGGTGCGGTGGCTCACGCCTGTAATCCCAGCACTTTGGGAGGCCGAGGCAGGCAGATCACGAGGTCAGGAGATCGAGACCATCCTGGCTAACACGGTGAAACCCCGTCTCTACTAAAAATACAAAAAATTACCCGGGCGTGGTGGTGGTCGCCTGTAGTCCCAGTTACTCAGGAGGCTGAGGCAGGAGAATGGCATGAACCCGGGAGGCGGAGCTTGCAGTGAGCCGAGATAGCACCACTGCAGTCTGTCCTGGACGACAGAGCGAGACTCCGTCTCAAAAAAAAAAAAAACACACACACACAAAATTAGCTGGGCGTAGTGGCGGGCGCCTGTAGTCCTAGCTACCTGGGAGGCTGAGGCGGGAGAATGGCATGAACCCGGGAGGCGGAGCTTGCAGTGAGCAGAGATGGCACCACTGCACTCCAGCCTGGGGGACACAGCGAGACTCCATCTCAGAAAAAACAAACAAACACTTACATTGGAACCTTCTTATCACTTCCAAATCATCACTTCCAAATCAGGGTGAATTCCCATGCTAAATTCGATTGCTTGTTAAAGATTGAAGGTAAATCCTCAGTTTCCAAATAGCTGTAACCCCAGGGACATTACACAGCACTTAGAGGGAGAATTTCCTGAAAATCATATCCCTCAGAGCTTTAGTAAGTTTTCTCTTTTCTGCCACTCTTCCTGAAACAAAAACTGTCTGGGGAGGAGCCCAGCCTGTCTCCACTGCCCCCAGGAACATTCTCATTTCCTGCCAACACCTCACAGTGCTGGGTTTGACTGAGATGTTCCTCATTTTTGGTCTGGCCTACATCACTATAATCTATAACCTAAATCACTCTTCTGATGAGCCGAGCCATGTGAAATTGCCAATATTTGACTGTCTTCGATCTACAAAGCTGGTCATTTCTAATGGTTCAAGTCAGTACAGATTAGATTTCGTTTTCCCTCTTTTACATTTGCTGACCTTGAGTCTAGGATGCTGTTGTCACACAAGTCAGTGAAGAAGTCTTTGTCATCTTCAAAACCAATCTCTAAAATCCCCTTGTAGGGACCAGCCCCACAGGTTCGGGGGGTCTCTCTCTGTGTGCCGTGACGAGAGAGTGTAGAAATAAAGACACAAGGCAAAGAGATAAGAGAAAAGGCAGCTGGGCCCAGGGGACCACTACCACCAATGCACGGAGACCGGTAGTGGCCTCGAATGTCTGGCTGCGCTGTTATTTATTGGATACAAGGCAGAAGGGGCAGGGTAAAGAATGTGAGTCACCTCCAATGATAGGTAAGGTTACGTCGGTCACGTGTCCACTGGACAGGGGGCCCTTCCCTGCCTGGCAACCGAGGCAGAGAGGGAGAGGAGACAGAGAGAAAGACAGCTTATGCCATTATTTCTGCATATCAGGGACTATTAGTATTTTCACTAATTTACTACTGCTATCTAGAAGGCAGAGCCAAGTGTACAGGATGGAACATGAAGGCAGACTAGGAGTGTGACCACTGAAGCACAGCATCACAGGGAGACGGTTAGGCCTCCAGATAACTGCGGGTGAGCCTGACTGATGTCAGGCCCTCCACAAGAGGTGGAGGAGCAGAGTCTTCTCTAAACTCCCCCGGGGAAAGGGAGACCCCCCCCACCTTCCCCGTCTACTAAGTAGCGCGTGTTGTTCCTTGACACCTTTTGCTACCGCTGGACTACGATCCGCCTGGTAACGGGCGTCTTCCCAGACTTTGGCGTCATCACTAGACCAAGGAGCCCTCTGGTGGCCCTGTCTGGGCATAACAGAAGGCTTGCACTCTTGTCTTCTGGTCACACCTCACTATGTCCCCTCAGCTCCTATCTCTGTATGGCCTGGTTTTTCCTAGGCTATGATTATAGAGCGAGGATTATCATAATATTGGAATAAAAAGTAATTGCTACAAACTAATGATTAATGATATTCATACATAATCATATCTAAGATCTATATCTGGTATAACTATTCTTGTTTTATATTTTATTATATTGGAACAGCTCATGTCCTCTGTCTCTTGCCTCCGTGCCTGGGTGGCTTGCTGCCCACATCCCCTAAAGTCCTTCCACAAAATCTTCAAGGGCAAACTGCCTCCCACACACTTTCCATGTTCCAGTTTTAGAGAATATATTTATTTTTAGTCATTCAGGCCATTTTAACATTTGAGGATACTGTGCCTGTGGCCAACAGTGGGCTTTGTGAACTGCATGCAGGGCGCAGAGGCCAAGATGAGGCTGTGTGTTAGGCTGGCACACCTTTAAATTTAAAATAGAAAGGCACTCTTTTTCTGTCAAAAGTGTGTGTAGCGTTATGGGCAGCCCAGCACCTCGTCCTGGCTCCACATCTGCTAAGCGTGTGCCCGGGAGCTTGTGTCCTGTTTTCTCTCAGCAACGTGGGACACCTGTAGGATTTTAAACACAGGGTCAGGGGCTGGGAGTCAACATCTCAGGATCACCTCCTCCAGTTCAGGGAGAGAAAGCAGGGAGAGCCTGTTCCAGAAAGCCCCACACATTTTATCTACAGTTCCTTTCCTTTACATCACTCCTAAATCATAACCAGTGACATTCTGCCCCACTTTCTCCTACCCACAAGACTCCTCTCAGCAAGGTTTTTGCTGCAGTTGCTTTTGGAGAGAGGCAAGTCTCTGTATCGGAGGACAGCCAAAGCTGCCTGCATGAGGAGCGCCTACAGGACTGTCTCAGGTCTTTTGTTCAGAGCAAAGAAGAATCCAGTTAGCCATAGTAAACCGATGCAAATATTCTTAAGGAGTGTAGTCATTCAGGCTAATGTTTCAGAGTTAAGTGGGTAGAAGAGATTTTAAAACCTATTAACAGGAGCTTGACCTTGAGTATGTTCTGCAATAGAAAACACAATCAAATTAAGACCCAATACCTTAAGAACTCCTTCAGTAACCCCTCTTAGAAGGATTCAGTGTTTTATTGTTAATGACAGGAAACTTCTAGAAATCAAACAACCTTGACGTGAGGCTAGAAGCATTCCAAAGTGAATATGTGTATTTTTTATACTTCAGGAAGCTTTTGTCTGAGGAACATATCTTAAAATCTTATAAAATAGAATGTCCTTACATTTTCTTATTAATTATGCCTGCAGTTTTAAAAGCTTAACAACTGAAGTTTTGAAGTGGCATTTAAAAAACTTTTAATGCTGCCTCCTTAGCAAACTGATTTTTTCAAGTTTATCTTTATGAAAGGCCTGAAAAGAATGATATAACCATGGAGGCTGCCGGCCTTACTAAAAGCTGACCGTTACCTTTTTGTTTATTAAAGCAGGTACTTATGGTTAAAATTTAAGAAGCAAGATCATGCTTATAGCATGTCACTCTCCAATTTACTTATAATAAATAATCTTGATCTGATCAGTGTTCCCATTTCTACAAGTGTGCCCCGGACACTGCTTGTCCAAGCATGGTAAGGCATAGGATTTGGCTATTGCCCAGGAAGCCTGTCCCTCTGCCCACCCTCACACCATGCTCTGCAAGAAGGCACTATAGATGCTGGGGCATAAAAAGAAATATATTTGGTCTTTGTCCAGGGTTCTTGGTACAGATCTCCTACAACCCTTGGAATTTCCTGAGTGACAGGAAAGTCTAATTATTCCTAAGGTTCCCCTTTGGATCACACCTGAGGTGTGATGTTATAATTTATACTAATAGTGTGACTCAGAGTTGGGCCCCTAAATTGCCTCAGGATAAGGCTGGTCACCAGAATGAGCCAGAAGTTTCAGCCCCACCCATTTACCTCCAGGAAGGAGCAGAAGGCTGGCGATTAAACTATCAAAATTACTGAATAACAAGATTTGAAGAGCTTTCAAATAGGTGAACACAGTTACTTGCTAGGAGAGTGGGCCACCCCAACTCCACAAGGACAGAAGCTCTTGTGCCCAGGTCTTTTCTGGACCTTACCCTATATACCTGTTTATCTGTATCCTTTTTCATAAATCAGTAAAATGTCTTTCTGAGTTTTGTGAGACACTCTAGTAAATGATCAAAACTGAGCAAGGGATTATGGGAATCCCGATATATAGTCAGTCATTCAGAAGTGTGAGTGGCCAGGTACTTGTGACTAGCATGTGAAACAGAGTCAGACATCTGGGAATGGAGCCCTTCAACCTGTGGAGTTTGATGTGTATTCTGGGTAGTGTCCAGATTGAACACATCGTTGGATATTCAGTTGGTGCCTGGAGGGATGGGGACTTGCTTGTTGGTGTCAGAAGGCACCCCACAGAAGCAATGCCACTTTGACGTGAAATCAAGTAGACCTGGAAACTTTGGGGAAAAGATACCTTGTGAGTAGGGCCACCGAGCAATCCTGACAGATATGGATTCTTTCAACAGAATGGGCTCCCCAGCGGTGAACCATGTGGACACTCACAGCACCATCCGGGAGAAGGGCCCTCCATGCTGCAAGAGAAAGCCCACAGCCCGTAACTCGGGATCTGCAATGCAACTGTCTTCTTCTTCCTTAACTTAGATCTTCTCCTTGTCCTCTAGTTTCCAACATATTTTTAAGTGTTTCTACCAGGAATTTTAAACAAGTTTTCTTTACTCTGCCAAAGGTTTCACAGCGGCCTTTTAGACTCAAATAGTACTTTCAGTTGTGTGTGCTGAAAAGTGGTTGACTTTTTATTTATGTATGTACACATATTATTTTATGTATATATTTATTTTCATTTTTTAGAGTTACATATTTTTATAATTCTATTTATACAAATTTATTTTATTCTATTGTATTTCACGTTTTTAGAGCATCTGCCCTTGGCCTACGTATTTGATGCAGTGAAACAGCTCCCCCAACCCCTGCCCACAGCAACTGACCACTAATGGGTGGTTCATTCACTTTACAGATTCTTGTGGGGAAAGAACTGCCAGACCTTTTAAACACAATTAAGCAGAATAGTTGAAAAATCTTTTTAACACTATTCACTAGCTTTTGCTTACTTTTACTCACTACTATTTGGCCTGTGACCCAGCAGGAGATCTTTTAAGTCAAAACACTTAGTTAGCTTTCTCTAGGGAAGGCGCTAACCTGAAAGGGGTCAAATATAGCCTGGGAAAGGGCAGCTCAGCTTAGCACCAATTTACAAAGTAGTGTTGCTTATCTTCAGCACAGAGGAGCCTGCATGATCCAGGCAGAGGGAGTCTGAGACAGAACACAGCATGAACACAGCACATTAGGGAAACAGGGCAAGGTCAAGTGCACAAAGAAGGGGCATATAGGACACCAGCCCAGGAGGATCTAGCATGGGGAATGACCCTGTGAGGGCAGAAAGTCTCCCTCGGTAAGAAGCTGGCACTTTGCTTTTTACTCTCTGGGCTTTTGTGGGGCTGCAGGCCCTGGATTTGGAGACTGTCCATAACTTGAATCCTGGGTCCTGCAAGGATTCTACAAGGGCAGGCATCAGGGGCTGGTAGGAAGGCATGATGCAATGTTGAAGGGAAAGGATGGCAGCCTGTGGGAAGGAGAGAGGCAAGGCACCCATCTGGAGGATAGTGTTAAAAAGAGAATTACTCTTTCGCCTGAGACTCCGGATTGTGGGTCTTCACATATCCCCTCCTCTCAGAATCAGGATGGCAAAGTAGCCACTTCCAGGGACATTTGCTGTTGGAAAAGGAAACTGGGATGGCCAGGGGAACCCCAAGTGAACAGTGTCCTTACCTTGAGTTTGCCAGGAAGCTGAGTGAGATTGTCCTCTTCCAGACAAGTTTGTCTACCCCATGCCCCAGAACACAGCCTGTGTGGTGTCTTACCAGTTCCAAGGGATGCTGTGGACACACGCAGCACTGGATTTAGTTCTACATAAGGAGCATTCTACTTAAACTGCACCAGAAACTAGAAGCTACTCATGTCTTTTAACCCAAAGGCCTTTGGATAAGGATGAAAGTACCACTTGGAATTCCCCATTATGTTTTTACCATCCAGCTTCATGTCTTGTCCTCCCTTACTCATGGATGCTACATAAAACCAGGACCCAGCCCTAGGTCCCTGCACACACTCTGCTTTATGGTTGCCAAGAGAGCAAAGGAGAACTAAAAGGTGTCACAGAGAGGCCAGCCACTGTGTAAGTTCTAGGATCACTGAGTGGCATGCTTAACCTAGGAAAATCATCTTTTCTTGCTACCAGGAGAAATGAGACAGGCTTATTGATACCACTACCCTAAGCTCACCCACAGTCCCCGGGGAGTACATATTTAATGTCACTGTGGAATTTAGGGGTAAGTGGTGCCAGCCCCCAGGGCCACACACAATGCATTTATGCACCTGTGAAAACTAAGTACCTTGATGACTTAGAAACAACCCACAAGCTAAGGGGCTCTCCTGAGAACTGGTGCTACCCATCCACCATGACTCATTTTTCACCATGATCTTTGTTGTTTCCAGAATGGAGATCTGTAGTCTAATTGCCTGGAAGACTCACACCCTCACTTTGATTTGGGATGCTGTGGCTAGCATTGTCTGCCTTATTTGAGCTTCTACTATTAAAGACACCCTTATTTCACCTACTTATCCAAGTCATGTTCATTCCAGAGTGTGGAGTAGCTACTCCATTATCATGAAAGTCACTGCATAATGAATCTGGCCCCACATTTCTTCCAAGGAGATACACTGGCACTCTAAATCCAAAAACAAAGGTTCTACATGAGTACAGAGTATTACATTGTGTCAGGGTTTCATCACCACCTCAGTCACTGTGGCGGAGAGGGAGCTCTGATTATTCCAAAATAAATAAGTCAAGAAACTGGATGCTGAGATGACACTTTAAAACACATTTTGTGTTTTGTTCTAACAAAGATTTGGGTGCTTTGCATTATCTTGAAGTGACTATGGATATTACCAGGAGTGTTGATGAAGGACAATACACCATCAAAAGTGATATTTATGAAACTAATGATATTGTAGAATCCCTGTGAAAGTGATATTTGTGAAACTAATGATATTGTAGAGTGCCTGTGAAAGTGTGCTTAAAAATATATATATATATATATATGTGTCCAGGAACTAATAGAACACTAAGTACATAATACATGTTGAATAACTATCCTCTCAAAGTATGAAAGAATATCAAATGTAAAGAAGACATGCTAAAATAAAAATAATTGCCTTATGTCCTCTCTTAGAATATTTATTTGACTCTCAAATTAGAGTGGCTAATTTCAGGCCATGTTGATTGGATACTGTAGGTTTATTGTTATAAACATCAGCCAAAGTCCTTCCCATTCCCTATGCAATCCTGCTACCCAATTCTTTCTTAAACATTAATCCTCACCTAATCTATTATAGAGAAAACAGGGACTGTAAATTCACTCAGTTTGTCATATCCTTATCTGCTCACTTCCAAATAGATCTACATGACCCATTCTTACCACCCTCTATCCTATCTTAGAGAGTTTTCTCCACCTGTCAATCATAAATTGCAATTATGATACCTGATTATGCTCTGGAAATCGCTCAGTCCATCAGTTATTCATTTTGCTTCCCATGTCTCTACTTTCCATCACCTCTGGTTTTTCTTTATATTACAAGCTTATTTCACATCTTTAAAAAAATCACTCATGATGTGCATGTGTTTATTTTAATTGCGATCTGGTCTCTTCTTTTAATAGCTAAAATTATTCAAAGGATTTGGTATATTGACTGATTCCAATGTTTCAACATCTATTGATTTCTGAAAACATGGAATTTTGGTGCTTCCTCTCAACACTACAGGAATGACTTTTGCAAAGCTCTCCGCTGACTTCTATGAGACTTAACAGCATGAACATGTTCAATCATTATTCATAGCCTTTTTGCATATTTGAAGCTGTTAATCCTCCTATCTTTGACCTTTTTTAGATGTTGTGACATCATTTTTTTCTTTTTCCTTTCCTCCAAGTCTCCATCATCTTCCTGAAAATTCGCATTTATCTCTCCAGGGTTCCATCATCCACTCTTTTCTGTAGCTCCTTAGTCATCTCTTCTACTCTCTGGCTTTAAATACCACTTATATACTAATGGCTCTTAAAGCTGTGTCTCTACCTCTATTCTATCTCTTGTGCCAAATTTATAGCTCAAAATCCATTGGTATAAAAGTGAATCTATTCCATCTCACCATTTCGATCCCCAATAACAAAAATTCGTTTGCTCCCTGTGTTGACTAATGTTACAATCATCTATCCAGCTCTTCTGTTTGTACACAGCTAGTCAGGCGTCAGTCTCTATCTTTTCAAGATCCTAAATGTTATTCAAATCGTTCTTCATTCTCATTTTCTCTGCCTGGCCAATTCCTCATCTACTCTTGCCTAGACCATAGTAAAACAAGTCTTCTAACCGATCTCCTGTAGTTAACATTTTGCACTGCCATTGGCCACACCACTGCCATAGGATTCTTTCTGAAACCCATATCTGATTACACTGTCTCTTTTGGATGGCTTTTTTTTTTTTTTTTTTTTGATGGAGTCTTGGTCTGTCGCCAGGCTGGAGTGCAGTGGCACCATCTTAGCTCACTGCAACCTTTGCCTCCCAGTTTCAAACAATTCTCCTGCCTCAGCCTCCCAAGTAGCTGGGACTACAGGCACATGCCACCATGCCCAGCTAATTTTTGTATTTTTAGTAGAGACAAGGTTTCACCATGTTGGCCAGGCCAGGATGGTCTCCATCTCTTGACCTCGTGATCCACCCGCCTCAGCCTCCCAAAGTGCTGGGAATACAGGTGTGAGCCACCGCGCCTGGCCCCTCGATGGCTTTTTAAAAGAGCAGAAGCAAAAGGCAGCACCTGCACTGGCAGCCTGGATGACCCTTCTCTCCACAGAATGTCAATTAATGTGTTTTAAAGAGTTGTTTTGAGTTGGGAAAGGGGTGAATTCCTTTTTCTGTCTTTACAACATATCTACTTAGTTGGAGATTTGGTTTTAATCACTGATGTTAGAAACCCCTTTCCCCAGTTCCTCCTCCCAGGGTGCTCACCAGCCTGCCCACTCCCTTCCCCAGTTATAAATATTCCATTAGTCTCATGATTCTGCCTCCTGAGTTATAATCTGAACCTACTAATGGCAGGACAAGGTGGCTCATGCCTGTAATCCCAGCAGTTTGGCAGGTTCCGGTGGGTAGATAGTTTGGGGCCAGGAATTTGAGACCAGTTTGGGCAATATGTTGTCCATTGAGCAAGACTCCATCTCTACAAAAAATTAAAATAAAAAGTTAGTTGTGCATGGTGGCATGCACCTATAGTCCTATCTACTCAGGAGCCTGAAGCAGGAAGACCATGTGAGCCTAGGAGTTGGAGGCTGTAGTGTGCTATGATTATGCCACTGCACTCCAGCCTGGGTGACAGAGTAAAACTTTGTCCCTAAAAGACAAAAACTTAATTAAAATTATATGTGTGTATATATATATATTTATATATTTTTATATATTATATATATATTTTTATTTTTTATTTAAAATATTTTTATTTTATATATGTATATATTATATATATTTTTATTTATATATACTTTATAGATTTATATTATATATATATATTTTACATGCCTATTCCCCAACTTAGTAGGTACTGATAAATGCAAAAGGAAAGAATGGATTGCTAAAAGTTGTCACTGATATTAAAAATCACTGTATCACTGTATGTATTTAAATCACTAATGTATTTTCTGATAACCTGGAATAAATTCAGCCTCTTTTATGAAAGCAATAAAGTATAAAATCAATTATTGTCTTGGATACTGCCAAACTCCCTAAAGAAGACTAAAGTGTGGGATAGTTAATATGTAAAAGGAGCTAACTACAAAACAATGGATACTATAATTTTAATTTTGTAAAACTAAATAACACAGAGTGTGTATTTATGAGTGGGTGACAAAAACAATATAAACAAGTTGTTGAAAATAATTATCTTTGGGTGATTGGGTTATGATGATTTTATTTTATTGTTTTGCTGTTTTCTCTAAATGTTCTGCAAAGCTGTAGTAATTACATATTCTGTAAAAAACACAATAAGTGCAAAAGAAGACTTGACTAGAATACTTGAACATGTTTTCTTGATAGCAGTGGTTATCTATGAGTGATGGGGTTGTGAATAATTTATATTCTCATCTTTATAATTATTTTGGTTGTATATCGTTTATTGTTTATACATGAGCTATTGATAATTAAAATATATTTTATCATATAATTTTAAATTAAAGACATTAAATGTTATTTTCATATGAAAAGTTAAAAGGGTGCTCTCCAGGATTTCATTGAAAGCTAATTCTGTGCTAGTAGGACTATCCAAATTGCTAACCGTTTTCCCCATAGTCTTAGAATTTTCCCTCCAAATCAATCACTGGAAAAAAGCTGAGGAATGAAAGAAAAGGCACTGAAAATGGTGAATGCATGGCTGGCTGTAGAATGTAAGTAGCCATGAGACCGCACTGGGTATATAATAGCTACCTTCTCAGGTGCACCATATTCTTGCTGTGCAATAATGCCTCAAGGCTGACTTCTGGAAACTGGAAACTGCTCAGCTGGCTGTTGTATGACTGACATTCACCCGTCATTGACCCCTTTTTATCTGCCTCACAGGAGGCACAGAGAAGTGGCTCGTGGTTTTTCCCCAGGCTGGGATTTCTTCCTTATCTAAGCAAAGCAAGATTGGATGTAGGAGATGAGGCTATATCTCAGTGTCACTCCTCCCAAGAAGAAGAAGCAGTGCTTTCTGCCTTGTGCCCAGTGACCCAAGAAACAAATCACATCCATTCTGCCCATGGTGCCCTTTTCTCCTTATTGCTTTCAGGCATGGCAGAACACCTTCAGATTCACACATAAATCTTTTCTAGGTCTAAAACACTGAAAAGTGATTCCCCATGATGGGTTATCTGTGGCATATTGTCAATCTAGCCAAACTTCTCCATATCACGTAGCATGCAGATGGGCTATCACCCCAAGAGCTGAATTGTTGAGTGATCAAGGAATGCAAATCAATCTTAGTGTTCAGCTTTAAAACATAACTAGAAAGTTGAATTGGAAATTCATCAGTATATATGAACATTATATATTCATAGCATAACGTTCCTTGTGCAACAGCATCAGGAAATTTACCTGCCTATATAGATTCATTTTCTTATAACTGAAGACAAACACATTATGAGCATGAAAACTTTATCTTAAGCATTTTTTATTGATTTTTCCCTCAAAACACAATACCCTGTTACAATAGGACACAGGGAGAATGTTAACCATTTAATGGACATAAAAGCATCATTGTCAGCTTTGATTTATGGACTAAGTTCTAAAGCATTGTACCTCCTTCACAGACTATTGAAAGAAAGAAATTTCACTTACTGTCACCACAGGCTTTAAAGTTTCCTGAGCTGTGTATGTGGCTGATGTGAAACAGTGATAACTCCAACTACCACTAAGGGGATGCATTAGAGACCACCCCCGGACACATTGCTATTTTGAGTCAGTGCTAACTGGGGTGACCAGCTGTCCTGGTTTGCCACTACTTTTGATTTCCTGGAATACAATTCTTTCAGTGCCAAGACTGAATTTTTCCCAGGAAAACAGGGATAAGTAGTCACTCTCATGTTCACCAATGGGGCACAGTAATGCTCATAGGTATGACACAGGTACCCAGTGCTATTAGCTCCAATGTGCAGAGCTGTGATCGTTGATTGCTTTCTGTTACTTAGTTAATTTTGTCTTTTTCTTTCATAGGCAGTGCTCTTTTCCTCAACTATGATTTCTTGCCCTGCCAGGACTAGCAGCTTCACTCACCGTTTTCTCTCCTAACCACTTTCACTTCCACTGTCCCTCCTTTCTGCTCTTGCTTTGCTTTTTCCATCTTCTCTTCCCTGTCACTTCTCCACACACCCCTTTTTGTTATTTGCTTGCACTTCTTATTTCCATCCATACCATTTGTCCTGCCTGTCTCATCCTTCCCTGAAGGGTGACTTAATTGTATATCCTCTTTCTGCCAGTGAGATTCCTTCTCTCTTAACTTAGAGAAACTAATATGTATGTCGAATGCTGGGCTACTTTTGGCTTTCTTGCTATTTTCAGCCACACTCAATGTCCAAAGGATCTTTATTAATTAATTTTCCAAGGGTGTTGCTGCTCTAGTGATTGAGATTCTCCAAATAAGGGCATTCTCCAAATGCCAAGTTTTCACAAGTCACTGTAAGGGTTAAACAGAAAAGTGGACTCTTCATTAAGTAAGTTTGGGAAATAAGAAATTAAGCACATGGAAATGGACGTTTTATGGAAAGGTCTCTCAGACCCTGGGGTGTCCATTATGAGTCACCATCATGAATCTTGAAATTTCCTGATGTGCAGTTATGAAAGGTTGCATAGATCATCCCAGGATGCCCCTCACCACACTGTTGCTGAAGCTCAGGGGTATGATGGCATTTTTTCTGGAAGTTGGCAGTAAAGTGACTGAGGAAGTAGTGCCTTTTGCTAAATTACACAAAGTGTTTGAGCCCGTGATGGATGGATTGCAAGCAAGGTTTTCCAAATTCCTTTATCCAAGGGATGTCTCATGGGAGCAGTGTTCTGGGTACAACAGTTTGGAAAAGGGGGTATTGTACACGTCAAAGCATATGTAAAGCATTTCTTTTATTATTTGATCACTGTTACGATCTCATTCTTTAGTGGTTGATTATGTATTTTATAGAAAAAGTATAGCACAGGGAGAATGCCACATATCCTTTCGAGTAGCCACAGGCATGAGATGACACAATTCTCAATTATTTCCTATCCATTATGTGCCCTCAATTTTTCTATTAATTACTATTTAAATTTAGATGACCAAGCAGCTTTAAATGCAGGCAACATGGACAGTTGGTGTTACATATACTAACCCGTCTTCCAGGCTCTGCGAGCACAAGATCTATATTATTGACTGTGGAGAGTTCTTCAAAGTACCCTATAGCATTGTGTTTAAAACCCAGTGCTTTAAAACCCTTAACTCTGTTTAGTCAAGAGATTTCCCTCCTCTGTGTTCTAAGACAGTATTTTTTTTTTAGACAAAGTCTTGCTGTGTTGCCCAGGTTGGAGTGCCATAGTGTGATCTCGGCTCACTGCAAGTACTGCCTCCCGGGTTCAGATGATTCTCCCACCTTATCATCCCTAGTAGCTGGGACTACAGATGCCTGCCACCATGCCAAGCTAATTTTTGTATTTTCGGTAGAGACAGGGTTTCATCATGTTGGCCAGGCTGGTCTCAAACTCCTGACTTCCGGTGATCTACCCGCCTCAGCCTCCCAAAGTGCTGGGATTACGTGCATGAGCCACTGCACCCAGCCTAAGACAGTATTATTTCTAAAGAGATAAGTTTCTCCTTTCCTTGGGCTTTCCAAACTTGGTTTGTTATGGAATAATAAATTAATAGTTTAATGTTTCATACTTCATTATAACATGTGGAATTGTTCATTTTGAAAACACAAGCATGATATATTTTGCTTCCTTTCAAATTTACTTCCTCTGTGCCCAGAATCTGTAAAATGTCATCCTTTCTACTATACAGTAGCACTTCAGGACACTTTTTATACTTAAGGAAAAAATATTTGCTTTTTACTGAAACAAAAAAATATTTTGAAAGAATATTTATTAATCTCATTCTGAAATGATTTGAGAATAGTTCTGCCAGCTATAGAGAGTTGGGTTAGTTTTCATATCCAGATTTCTCTAGTTTCATTGTTTTATGATAAAGTGCTTGGGAAAACTTGGGAAGAAACTATTATATACAATTTGTTTGTAAATTTAGTATGAATTTATAACTATTATAAGGAAGCTTATCTCTTTAGAAATAATACTGTCTTAGAACACACAGGAAGAAAATCTCTTGGCTAAACAGAGTTAAGGTGTATGGAATAGATGGGTCATCAATATTTCATAAGGTGCTTTTCATATTTGGAGCTCCAAGTGCTTTATAAATATTAGCACAATATTACAGTATCTCTCTTGGGCAAGAAAGTGGCAAATGCAATTCAATAATCCATTCACAATTTGGAAAACTGAACCACTTAGCATCTTCTTTTTTGACTCTTTGTTGAGAAAAATTATCTGCAGAGATGAGCATTGGACAGAAAGTTAGGAACAGGTCCATGAGAATCTAATGAAAGATTCAAAAGAAGGAGGATGCACACGCTTACAGGAGAGTGATACCTCTTCAGGAAGGCCCTAAGTGATGGTCATGGGGAGCTTCCTAAAATGCGGCAACTGAATCTTACCACAAAAGTGTGAGTCAGTAGGTCTAGGATATAGCCCAGTAATGGGTGGCAATGAAGCAAGCTTTGCATGTAATTTTCCATGACCCCAAAGCTTGAAAACCACTACTGTAGAGAAAGGGGCCACTGGGCATGGTGCTTATGTTCGGTGATAAATTTGGAGAATGAGCACATGACATGACCTTGCAGCAGAGCCACAGCGAAGGGACTTCCCTGAGCTATCTGAGGCAAGACTGGGGCAAGTTTTTTTGCACAGCCATTACTTTCCCTTCATTTGTGAAGGAGAACAAGGTCAAGAACAAAGAGAGGAGACTGCTGAGGATGCTTCTAAGGCTAGAGATCAGCATGGTTTTCATTTTAACACAGCCCTGGGAAGAAAATGGGCAAACACACCACCACTGCTATGAGTCTGTGGTGCTGTAGGAAGGTTAGCCCCAGTGAAGTGGCTACACCGTCTGGTGTATATAACCTGGGGTTCATTGTCATGCACCGAGAAAGAATTCAGGACATGAACACATGTGAATAGGTTAAGGACTGGAAAGTTTAATAGACAGAAGAAAGGCGAGAGGAGTGCAGTTCCTTGTGAAAGACAGAGAGATGTCCCAAAAAAGGGAGGCAGTGGACTGCAGCAGATTTTATAGGCAGGCTGGAGAAGGTGTTGTCTGATTTACATAGGGCTCACAGATTGGTTCGATCAGTGTGACATCTACATAGTGCGTGGGGGAAGTCTGGTTCCCCCACCCTAGCTTTCTTATGCAAATGGGCTTTCCAACTGATCAGCACCATCTTGTCTGCTCCTTTACAGTATGCGTGGCTGGCAAAGAAGGGAAGATGGTGCCACCATTTTCAAAATGTCTAGTCCTTACTTCCTGTTGGCATTCACCCATGCAAGCTCCCAGATTGCAGGCTTCACTTTGTTAGAAAATGACTTGGGGCTGCTTTTCACTAAAAAGAAAAGCCTTACCAAGAACTCCCATACCCTTTCTATCTGCCTACGTAATTCCTTCTTAACTACTATATTCAGGGAAGCCTTCCTGAAGATGTGAGTCCCCCTGAGGAATGGGGATTCTTCAACCTCAGGTGTGTCCCCTGCCAGTTTGTGCTTTTCCCAGCAGAAATTATCCAGCATTTAGGCATTACACAGACTGCATGAATGAGTCAGATGTCCAAATGGGAATCTTCCTGAAGCTCTTACAGCCCAAAAACACGACAAGCATGCCACACACTCCCACCATCTAAAACATAGGCTGTGTTAGTCTATTTTGAGTTGCTATATTGGAAGACCTGAGACTGAGTAATTTATGAAGACGAAAGGTTTAATTGACTCACATTTCTACAGCCTGTATAGGAAGCATGGTGCTGGCATCTGCTTCTGGTGAGGCCTCAGGAAGCTTCTACTTATGGTGGAAGGTGAATGGGGAGCCAGCATGCTACATGTGAAAGTGGGCACGAAAGAGAAGCGAGAGTTTCCAGCTCTTTTAATCAACCAAATCTCCTGTGAACTGTGAAGTCATTCAAGCCATTTATGAGGGATCTGCCTCATGATCCAAATACTTCCCACCAGACCCCACATCCAACACTGGGGATCACATTTCAACATGAGATTTGGACAAACATTCAAACCATCACAGGCCTTGTAAAAACAAATTACCAAAAATGGGATTTGTGACCCTAGGCCTCACATGTAGTTAAAAGAGTAAACCTGAGGGCCTTTTGTAGACAGTCCTTGGAGGGTTGTGTCTCAGCCAAGGGAGGCAGGTTTCATTGTGAGACCTTGACCCAGGTCTCTCAAAGTCCCTGGAGCACTCCAGCGGGGACATGGGGACAGGGGCCATGGCTGGAGGAGCCTCAGGGGAGTGCTCTATGGCCAGAACTGCTTCACCGATGCAGCACTGCCTGGGGCACTGTTGAGGCCTTTTTCTCCCAGGGTCTGCTCAGGCCATTCAAGGTCTCAGCTGAGAGTGAGGAAGAATCCTATTATAACCTTCTTACGATATGCATTTAAATGCAAACAGCCTTGTGAGGTATAGAGCTGTGAACCTATAGAAATGAACCCTTAATGACTCAAGAGTGTGGGATTGTCTTGCGGAACCTGCCGCTCAGCTCAATAACTGCAGACTTGGCCTGAGCTTAGGGCCTCACTGGCTCTTTGTTTCATTGTATATAAAATGAGGCACCTTGGGTTAAGTTTTTGACTCTCAATGTTTGTTGGCAAACCAGTACTGTGATAATAACCTGAGGGTGGGGCTTGGTAATCAAGGACTTAAAAATCTCTCCAGTTGGCTTTGGGTACCTGGAAGGTAAACAGCCCTAAGGCTACTTCCCACACTCAAATTCTATCAATTCTTTTATCAGACCACCTTCCCAATCAACAGATTATGCAGAGCATGGCCCTGAGAGGGACAGGACACAGGCTGGGAAGGTCTGGTTAGTGGGGGTGAATCTGAGCACAGCCCTCACAAGTTAGGGTAGGTGTGAGGGTGGTGCCAGAGGCAGGTGTGGTTAGAGTTGAGCAGGAAAAGTTACCTCTGTCTCTCCAGGACCACATGTTTGGTAGTGTTTAGAAAAAAAAATCATGGAAATAAGGTGGTACCATAAAGTTTTGAGAGAAAAGAACATACTTTGTCTCAGCTATGCTGTACTTGAAGCACCAGCAAGGTATCCAGAAAAAAAATTACCTTTTTTTTTTTTCTGAGATATTTTCTTGCTCTGTTACACAGGCTGGAGTGCACTGGCATGATCTCGGCTCAGCGCAACCTCCACCCGCCTCCCCAGTTCAACTGCTTCTCATGTCTCAGCCTCTTGAGTAGCTGGGATTACAAGCATGCACCACCATGCCCAGCTAATTTTTATACTATTAGTAGAGACAGGGTTTTGCCATGTTGGCTAGACTGGTCTCAAACTCCTGACTTCAAGTGATCTGCTCACCTCAGCCTCCCAAAGTGCTGAGATTACAAGCCTGAGCTACTGTGCCTGGCCAAGACATTACTTTTGAAAGGCTTAATCTGCTGGTTAAAGATTGCACATTGAGGCACAAAATGTCCTAAATAAGTCTGGGGAGGTGTCTAGGGAGTTGACATGGAGCTTTATCCTGTGCCCACCAGAGACTAATCCAAGTTATAAAGGCTATATTTTCAGTGCAACAAATATTTATTGAGTTCCTGCTATATGTGAGAGACAGACCAGCTGTGGGGTAGTCTGGCCCTGCCCTCAGTAAGCTGACAATCTGGTGGATGATACAGCTGTACAGGGTGTAGGAGCATCATTGTACTGTTGCAATGGCTATAATCTAAATGCAATGGTGAAGAGAAGGCTGTAACCCAGCCTGCAGAGGGCCAGAGGGTCTTCTGTGCTGTTGTTGCTTTTCTTCCCTTTTTGTCATGGTCTTTGATGTGCATGTCTCTCAAGCTTTTGACTCTCAAAGTTTGTTGACAAACCAGTTTGGGTGCTAACAAAATGATCAAGAACTTCAGGACCAGCTCACACCACGAGTCTTACAAGAGAAGTTTTGCATTTCCCCTTTCTTATCACAAAGCCACTAAATTGCCCAAAACTCATGGATTAGAATTACAATTTGGAAACTCCTTGGGCAATTCAGAATCTCTATGAATGTCGTATGTCATTGAACACTGATAGGAATTTTTCAGTTGGTGAGAATTCCCCCTAGGCTGACAGCAAGCTCTCTCTAGCATCTGTGAACTGGTAGCCTGTGTTTTATCTAATTCCCTTTTCACAGACAGGTTAGCTCTTCAGATCTCTGGGCTTTACACACAGGTGTCTGCTTTTGATGCTTGCCTCACACAAAATCATATCACATCTCCTCACTGGGTCTTGAACTCTAGCCTATAGTCTTGATGTCTGAAACACCAGTGAGTCCCCATGAGGTCAACATTCACTTATATTCTTTTTTTTTTTTTTTTTGAGACTGAGTCTCTCTCTGTCACCCAGGATGGAGTGCAGTGGCACCATCTTGGCTCACTGTGCCCTCTGCCTCCCAGGTTCAAGTGATTCTCCTGCCTCAGCCTCCCATGTAGCTGGGATTGCAGGTGTTGCAGGAATGAGGAGACTGGAGAGACCAGATGGGTGGAACAGGAGGATTTTATTTAGGTTGCCACTGGCTTAGTGGATTAATATCCAGAGGCTGAGCAACAAAAGAAGACAGGGCTTGACTTTTATTCATGCAACTGAAGGAGGGTGGCTTGCCAGTGGCGCAAAGCTTGTGGGGTGTGGAAAGCAAGCTTACAGAAGCAGAACAAAGGCAGTTAATCAAACTGTGACAGGTTCCTAACTCAAGCTTACACATGATTCTTGCTGTGCAGGCCAGGTGGCTGTTATCTAGGTTTGCTCAAGATGCCTGCACAGCCTTATCTCGTGTCCTTCGCTATGGCGCCCAGATGGCTGCAATCTAAGCTTGCTCAAGCATGTCTCATTACCTCCACGGTGCTACAGAGACTTACAGACACTAGTTACAGAAAACAGGAATCTATAAACTCATAAAACTTACAGAGCAGGGTAAAATCACAAGGAGTGAGGAGGGATTCAAGGGGGAAGCTGCCCATACCAAAAGAAAGAGGAAAAATTTGTTTTTCCTCTCACATCTCTTGCTTCACAGGCACATGCCACCATGCCTGGCTATTTTTTTTTTTTTTTAGTAGAGACAGGGTTTCCCCAGTTGGCCAGGCTGGTCTTGAACTCCGAACCTTCAGTGATCTGCCTGCCTCGGCCTCCCAAAATGCTGGGATTACAGGTGTGAGCCACCCTGCCTGGCCTCATTTATATTCTTTATCAGTTTTAGTTCCTTTTTTGTTTCTAGCACTTGGAAATTATCTATCTACCTATTTATCTATCTAGGCATTGATATAAACAAAAGTACCATACAGAGCTGTGTTTAAAGTTCAGAGTTGATGATTCTTATGCTTGAAACCTGGCACTGCTATTTACTTCTCTATTTTGGACAATTTATTTAACATTTCTATGCTTAAGTTTGCTCACCATGGAATTGTTTTTAGATAAACATAGTACAGAGAATTCCTTATACCCAAAACTGAGTTTCTCCAACTGTTAACATCTCACATTAGCACATACATTTTCTGTAGCACAATCCTATCCCGAATTCCATGTTATATTTAGTCCTCATGTCTTCTTAGGCTCCTCTTGGCTGTAACAGGTTTCTTAGATTCACCTTGTTTTTGGTGAACTTGACAATTTCAGGGAGGGACAGCCTGGTATTTTGTAGAATGTCCCTGAGTCTGAGTTTTGTTGATATGCTTCTCATGATTAGGCTGCTGTTACGGGATTTTTCAGAGGAAGACCACAGAGGTAAAGTGCCATTTTTATCACATCACATCAAGGGTACACACCAAAACCATGACTTATCACAGTAGACGTTGACCTTGATCACCTGGCTGAGGCAGTGTTTAAGGTAATGTGGTATCCAAGATGGGATCCTGGGACAGAAAAAGAACATTAGATAAAAACTAAGAAAATCTGAATAAAGAGTAGACTTTAGCTTAGAATAATGTGTTGATATTGGCTCATTCATTATGACAAATATACCATACTAGAGTGAAATGTTAATAATAGGAAGACTTGAGTGGGTTTGGGGGATTCTCAGTATTATCTTTGCAACTTTCTTGTAACCCAAAGCTGTTTTACATTTTTGATAGTTATAAATAAATAAACAAATAAATAAAATTATGAAGAAAAGAAAAACTTACTGTGCTTTATCTTTTTAACCCTTCCCTTTCCTCAAACCCTTGGCAACCACTCATCTATTTTCAGTCCCTATTTTTTTGTTTTTTTAAGAATGTCACACGATTGGAATCATGTATTATATAGCCTCTTCATATATTTATTTCACTTAGCAATGTGAGTTTAAGATGTTTCCATTTTGTCATATGGATTGGTAGCTCACTCCTTTTATTGATAAATAATATTCATTTTATGAATTCTGTCCATTCATCTACTGAAGGGCATCTTGGATTCCTCCAGTTTTTTACAATTATAAAATATTTGCATGAAGATGTTTCTGTGGACATAAGTTTACAAACCAGTCAGAAAAATACCTAGGAGCACAATTGCTGGATCATATGCCAGTAGTATGTTTAGCTTTGTAAGAAACTGCCAGTCTTCCAAAGTGGCTTTGTCATTTTGCTTCCCCACCACCAATGACGGTAAGTTCCTGTTGCTCCATATCATTTCCAGCAATTGGTATTGTCAGTTTTTTGGATTTTAGCCATTCTAATAGGAGTAAGATTGTATTTCATTGTTATTTTCATCACAGGCATTTAATGAGAGCTGAATGTGATTGCCACTTAGTTAATTTTTTCCTCCTATTACAGGATTTATGTGCTGCAGTTATTATATTTTATCCAGGATTTCCATGTGTATTAGTGGACTGAGTCCCATCTACATCAACTCAGTTCACCATGTAGATTTCATTTCATTTCATGAAATCTTTTGCTGCTCATTTAACATGAACTTAAGGCAATTTCTCAGAGCCAATCCTCATGTTTCTGCACAAGTTATTATTTCAGAGACAGACACATTCCAAATTAAACATGAGGGATATTTGCTATTGATATGATACCCAGCTGTCTAAAAACTTATCTAAAAATGTTTGCTGGGTATTCTAATGAGCACAGTAAACGTTCGTATGTGTGTGTTTGTGTGTGTGTGTGTGTGTGTATGCCTAATTTATTCTGTCTTCTTTCCTCACTCATTTGTTGTGAATTGAGTAATTTGAACTTGACATAAGTACTTAGGCTTCTGAAGATTATTCAGGTGAATTACGCATAAGCAACTTGGAGACAAGTGACATTGCCAAATCTGCCTGCCAACATGTTGATGCAATGAATGTCGCCCTTGTCTTTTCCTAGTTTGTGATGAGTCATCACCTCATCATTACAAAATGACTGAGTTTGCTAAATATGCCATCTTGTCGCAGGTTTTGATTTAGTTGTAGTTAATGCAATAAATTACACTACATATGCATCCCTTACTGAAATTGGCATCATCACAACTATCATATTCTTTTCTATATTTTTACTTCGACAATCATTTTTAAATGCTTTCTGTCAAGCAAAGTTTTAATCAACAACCTTGGGCCTCTGTTGAGAGAGACAGCATGTAGATTTTGTCTGCCTACATTAAAGAAATGGGAAAATTGTGACAATGTAAAGCATTCAAAATAAAACAGCATAGTCTGCAAGTTTTGGGCGTTAATGATTATGAACATTTCTTATCCATAACATGAGATGTGGAAGAAATGGCTCAATAAGATGAGCTGCCGCTGTTAGCCATGCCAAAGCAGTGGTGTGGGAAATTCTTGTTGACCTCTCAAGGGGAAAACAGATGTTAAGCAATCCTCTGGTCTACTGTAGGCAAAAAGATGTGGGAAATTTTGTGTGTCTCCAAAGTTAATGGAAAAGCTAACTTTTTCTGAAGTATCAAGACAGACCTGTAGTAGAGAGTAAAGGGTAAATCTAGAGTCTTACAAAACTTTATATCCACAGGAATTCATACTCTCTCTCCATTAAATTCAGAGTCATGGGTTCCTTGTGTTTCAAGCAGCACATAGCCGGTATTATCTTTGCAATTTTCTTGTATGGGGAAGAAACAGTAGAAGAGGCAGCTTCGATGAGAGAATTATGGTCACTATATTATGGGTAATAATTAAAGCATTTTATTTCAGAAAATAAGATGAACTTTATTAAAAGACTGAAGCCAGGAGATAATCTACTAGGAAATACTATATAAATAAATTATTAGAAAACAAAAGACAACCAACAAAGCGTTGATAAAACTGCATCATCTGTCATCCACATGGAATAGCACCAATTCACATAAATATTGTTAAAGTGAATAGATCAAAAGCTGAAAACATAGAGGGAATTTATTTTCCAAGGAATGGTGTAAGCTGAGTTGGAAGAATTCAGTCTGCTATGCTTGAAGTAAGATCATTTTTTTCTTACAAATGCACTTTCTGAATTAACTCTAACATTGCTGAGTTAGTAATCTTTGAAGAAAGTGACCAACATTCTTGATTTTATAGTTTGGGTTGCCTACTTTGGACCCAAGTACATGTATAACGAATGAAAAAACAATATGTGAAGGCAGTATTATAGTTGAGATTTTGAACACACAAAATCTCAGACAATCAAATTTATGATTCCTGTGGTAACTATAACTCTGCCACACTGCACATTATAGTAATCACTGCAGTGAACACTATAGTTACAGTTGCAAGGTATTTGGGGCTGTAACAGTTTATTTTCCATTGCTTGCAATCATTTCAAAAAAATTCTCATTTGGGGCTCTGCTTTTAAAGTTTGTTTCTGTTGAATGGTGGTGAATAATATTGGAAAGTAAGAGAAAAAAATAGTTCAAAGACTGGTGAAAGGGAAGCTTGAAAATATTAGTTTTCTTTGGTGGTCAACAATATATAATATATAATATATACACACACACACCCACACACATACATACATGTGCAAGGTACTGTGAGAGTGTAAATTGGTTTAAAAAAGTTTCCCCCTAGTTATATGTAACGGACTGTGAGAGTGTAAATTGGTTAAAAAAAGTGTTTCCCCCAGTTACAGAGAGTTTATATATATGCCCACACAAGAAATACACACACACACACACACCTGCTAGAATGTAAAATGTAGTAAGTAGTTAATCCATTCAACTTTGTTGAACTAATAAACCAACAAAGATAATAGCATTCAAAAATGTTTCAGGAGTTCAAAGAGGAAAATCATAATTTTTGCCTACATCTTCGCAGAGAAGCTAGATGTCATGTTTAGGAAGGTGGGACTTGATTATAAAGTTAGATTCCCAATGTCACCACCAATTAGACCGTGACTTTCGCAAATGAATGGACACCATCAGTTGCTTCTCCACTCCCCATCGCCTCCTCCCTAACAGAATGCCAGACGAGTTTGGATATCCACCTTTCTCCAAGGGATATCAGAGGAGGATGACACATCCCAGCGCTATTGGTATAAACTGTTTAGTGAAAGTCAGCCAACATATCCCACCCTTTCACTCCGGAGTGCTCTAGCCAAGGGCATTTTATCCAGTTGTTGCCAATGGGAAATTAGGTAGATCTATAGGAGGAGTTTCTAAGAAAAGGTCCTTGACCCTAAGTCATGGGCGAGGGGTAGATAGTCTCTGTCTTTGCATTGGACATTGTCAAGTCCTGCTGGGCTGCCTGAACCAGCCTGAAAATCCAATGAACACAAAGGATGTCAGAGGAGAGAAAAGGAAAACGTAGGGTGGTTATGCACATCATGAGCCTCATAATCAATTCTAAGACGTTGCCTTCTCCTGATCTTCCCATTATGGACAATATTAAGTTCCTTGTTTTTAAGTCAGTTTAAGTAAGGGTTTTCTATTACTGATTGCCAAAGTCATCCTTCCTGATAATGTAAGTCACCAAACTCTGAGTTTTAATTTCCTCATGTATTAAATATACTTGAAAATTTCCTGTCTTCCAGAAAAATCTGTGCAAAATACTATGAATTAAAAGGCATTATACAAATACAAGGCAAACAAATTGACTTTCACATATACATTATTTATATCCAGTGGTGTGCTACAGTCAGCATATACCAGCTCACAGAAAGCCCATTTTCAAATGTTTAGGAACCCTGCAAACTCATTGACATCACATACATTAAAATCAGCCACTCTCTAGTATGGATACACAACAATTTGCTTATCCATTCACCCGTTGATACATATTTAGTTTTTTATTTTCAGTCTGGGGCTATTACAAATAAAGCTCTACAAACATTTATGTAAAGGCCTCTGCATAGACACGTTTCCGTTTCTCTTGAGTAAAAACCTAAGAGTAGAACAACTAGATCATATTTTCAGTCTATTATTTACTTAATGGAAACTGCCAAATTGGTTTCCAAAATGATCGTGCCATATTATATTCCCCTCATCGATATATGAGAGTTCCAATTTCTTTACATCTTCGACAACAGTTGAAATCTTTAGTTTTTTTAAAAAAAATTTAGCCATAATAATGAATATATAGAAGTATCATATTGTGGCTTATATTTGTATTTCTCCGATGATTAATGATGTTGAACATATATTTATGAGTTTATCTGGTACTTATAATATGTCTTTCAAGGTTCATATCTTTTGCCCATTTTTGGGAGTTATTTCTGTTTTTATTATTGAGTTGGGAGAGTTTGTTAATATATCCTCAATACAAATTCTTTATGAGATGATATTTTCTCTCAGTTTGTAGCTTGCCTTTCATTTTTAAAATACAGTGTTTTTCAAACAGTAAAAGTTTTAATTTTGATAAGAATAATTTTATTTTTCTTTTGTGACTCATGATTTTTGTGTCCTGTTTATGAAGTTTTTACATGCCCCAAAGCTGCAAAGACTTGTTCATATTTTCTTCTATATTTATTATATTATAATGATTATGCTTAGGTGTATAATGCATTTTGAGTTAATTTTGGTATGTGGTATGAAGTCAATATTTTCTTATTTATTATAAGCATGAAAATACAGTAGTCCCAGGATCTTTTGTTGAAAAGGTAATACTTTCTTCCTTGAATAACCTTGGCCCCCTTTCTGAGACGCAGTTGAACATAAAAATGTGGGTTCATTTTTGGACTCTATTCTGTTCCAGGAATCTAATATTTATCCTTACACCGATACCATAGCTGCTTCATATGGCTTGAAGTCAGCTAGTGTGAATTCTCCATCTTCTTTGTTCAAAATGATTTTTGCTACTTGTGGTCATTTTTATTTTTCACATAAATTTTAGAAGTAGTTTGATAATTTCTAAAAAAGCTTCTGAAATTTTGATTGGAACTATGTTTAATTTATAAATCAGTTTGGGAAGAACTGACATTTTAACACTTTCTTTCAATATATAAAAATATTGTATCTCTTGATTTATGTCTTTTAAGCACTTCTTTCAGCAATGCTTTATAATTTTCAGGGTGTAAGTTTTGCATATATGTATTAAATTTATCCCTAAGTATTTCATTATTTTATTATATTCTTTATTTCAATTTATTTATTTATTTTTGAGATGGAGTCTTGCTCTGCCACCCAGGCTGGCGTGCAGTGGTGTGATCTTGACTCACTGCAACCTCCACCTCCCGGGTTCAAGCAATTCTCCTGCCTCAGCCTCCCAAGTAGCTGGGACTACAGGCACACACCACCACAGCTGGCTAATTTTTGTATTTTTAGTAGAGATGGGGTTTCACCATGTTGGCCAGGCTGGTCTTGAACTCCTGACCTCAGGTAATCCACCTCCCTTGGCTTCCCAAAGTGCTGGGATTACAGGCATGAGCTACCGCACCCAGCCGTTTATTTCAATTTTTAATTATCCATTGCTAGCGTGTAGAATGCAATCAACTTTTTTGCATGTTGCTCTTGTGTGCTATCTTGTTTATCTTTAAAACTCAAATGATATTATTACTATTCCTTTGTACATTCAATGATGCTTCAGATTTGTCTTCAATTACTTTGCTTTTCTTTCTCTGAAAATCAGAAAATTTCCTTTTCGGATCTTTACTCGTATTGTTGAAGTACAGAGTTTAGTAAGTATCTGTTGTGGTAAACTCAGTTTTTGTTTGGCTAAATGTATGTTTATTTAATTACTTTGTAATGATCCTTAAAGTAGACATAAAATTTAAGAACATTTTTTTCTTTTTCGAAAGTTTTATGATGTATCACACATTAGAAAGTACAAAGTAGATATATGAAACTTTAAGGATAGTAACAAAATAAATACATAAAATTTTTATTTGAGTGAAGAAATAAAATGCTGCTAGTACTTTAGAAGTTTTATAGACATACTCGTTGCCAAATGTTTTGCCAAATAACAAACCATCCCAAAACTTAATTGCTTACAACAAGAGCTGGTTATTGAGCTCAGATTTATGTAGGACAATTCTTTTCACTACATTCTATCAGCTGATCTCTGATGAGATTACTCATGCAGTTTAGCTGGGGGCTACACTGACAAGGATGGTCTCAGCTAAATGTCTGGTATTCCACAGGTAGTACCAAGGGCTGGTTGACTGCCAGTTAGGACACATGTCTTCTCCCCATGTGACCACTCATCTTCCATCAGCCTAGTTCAGCCTCATTAACATGATTTCAGGGCTCTAAATTTAGCAAGAAAACACGCCCTGATTCTCAAGCACTTTGCAAGTCTCTGACTGCATCACACTTGATATTGTCCCACTGGCCAAAGCAAGACATGTCCCCATCCAGATTTAAAGGTGGAGATGTAGACTTTCTTTATTCATGTAGCTAGAAATATTTTTAGCCATTTTTGTAAATTATCATGTCTTCTCATCCATATATAGTCATATGTATATATATTCATACATATTAACACATATTCACATATACTAATTTCCTTTCCAAAGAAAAGAAAGCAAAGTAATTGAAGATAAATCTGAAATAACATTGTATGTATAAAGGAATAGAAATAATATCTTATTTGAGTTTTTAAAATGAGATAGAATACAAAAGCAACAGGCAAAAAATATGAATATATATATATTCGATACGGTTTAAACTTCATTTATGTGAAATTATGTTATATATAAGGCTCTTTGATAAGCTTCTTTCACTTGTATTTTTAATATTTACCATTGCTGAATTTAGCTGTATCTTGTCTTTTTCTATAGTATTCAGTTATATGAATATACTTTAATTCACTTATTCTTTCTATTATTGATGGACAGTTGAACTATTTCTAGCTTACTATATTCTCACTCTATTTTTTTATAAAACAAACAAGTTTTAAATTATATAAAACTGGAATTTATCAATTTTTTGCTTATGATTTGCATCATTTTAAATTTGAGAAATCCTTCCCTATACTAAAATCATAACAATATTCTCACATATTGTCTACCAAGCCTTTTATAGATAATATAATTTCATTTTTAAATGTATAATCAGTGCCCTGATTATTTATTGAGTAGTCCACTGCTTCCCGAGTGATCTGAAATGCCATCTCTGTCACAATTCAAGTGTGTACTATGAATGTAGGCTTGTTTTACTAATTTAAAAATTCCTTTAGATTATGAAATCTTCTGAAGTATAAGTGTGCATTCTATTGCATTAATTTCTATTCTTATTTCTTTCTTTGTCTTTGCATTCATCCCAGTATTTTTCTAATACATTATCTCATTAATTTTATGCTTTCTTTTCAAATAACATATATTTCTAATATATATTTCTGAATTCCATTTTATCCATATTCTCCAAGTCATTTGTGCATAAATTTTATAACTGTTTAATTATAAAATTTTCTAAATTTTACTATGGTTTCTCTTATTATTTAAACTTCTACACATATAGAGGTTTACTAGTTTTAAAAGCATTTTTCTAATTTAATTATATTCTGAGAAGGAGTTTGGATGATATAGCAACACTTTAAATTTATTAAGACTAACTTTTCTATATGTTTCTTATTTGCTTGAGAATAACATTATGTATCATGTATATAATATAGTTGAATTTGTTAATCATATCAAATATGGATAGAAATAAATGGCTAGATAGAGGTATTCAATACTCTGTAAGTCAGGAAAATAGAGCTTCAAGGTTTGTTCTTAAAATCGTTTTACGTTCTAGTAGATTTACTTTTTATCTTCAATTACTGAGAGAGGCATGTAAAAATCTTTCACAATCATAATTGTGACTTTTTCCATCTTTACTTTAAATCTGTTTTCACTTTGTATGTTTTGAAGCTGGTCACACAGGTTTAAAACTATCGTATCTTCTTAAACAATGGAAACTTTAATGGTATGTGTTGACTTTCCCTGTCATTATTCATGCATTTACATTAAATCTGTCTCTTTAGATGCTAATATAGTTGCTCCAGTTACTTATAGTTAATATTTGTAAGCTATACCTTTTCTGTGTTTTAACTTTGAATATGTATGTATCTTTTCAACAAAATAAATTTATAAAATCCATTCTGTTAATCCTGGTCTCTCAAATAGAAAGTTTGGTGTCTTTAGATTTATAACAATTACTGATCTATTTAGAATTATTTCTCCCATCTTACTATGTTTTTGTCTCACTAATTTATGTCTTTTTCTTAGTTTCTTTTTAATTGACATATTTTGTTATTTGCTTTTTCTCATTCAATTGCTTTTTTTTCCTATATGCTTAGAAGCTGTTACTTTCTCTTTTAGTGATTATTCTAGCAAATTTAACAATCGTGCTTACTAGGTCCAGTATTTGCATTCTACTTAAGAAAAATTTAAGTTTAGAACATTTAATTCTAGTCATCCCCAAGTTATTTGTCATTGCCTAGTGTTTTCTTGGTAACCTGTTTACTTCCTCACAGATTAGACATTGCCATTATTGCTTTATAATGTCAATATTTATTATTTACCACAACAGAGTAGTAAGCAGTGGTGTCTGCAGGCACGTTGCCTGGCTGTGAATCTCCTGCCACTTATAAATTCTGTCATCTTAAGACAAGTTAAACTTGTTTAATAATAGGATCTTACTCATAGTATCGTAATAAGGATTAAATGAACTAAAACATGCTTACAGAAATTATCTGGTGCATAATAATTGCCCAATAGGGATTTACCACTGGCTTTGGTATCTACATTACTTCCGGTAACTCAGACTTTTCACAGAGGCTCATTTACTCTTCTCTTGAAATACATTCTTTACAAATTCCCATGGGGAATATTTTTTTCGGTGATTTTTCAGTTTTTATCTGTCCAAAAATGTCTTTATTTTACAATTCTGAAAGAAAGACTACTGTGAATAGAGTTTTAGGTTGACACTCTTTTCTCTGAGTGCATTGAAGATTGTATTACACCATCGTTCCTCTCCCAAAATGCTGATGGGAAGCGCAGTGAGCCTTTACTTTATGGGTTATCTGTCTTTTGTTCTGTGTCTATTTTAAGATCAGTCTGTCTCAGTCACTTCTTTTTTTCTTCTTTTCATGTACTAAATCTAGATGTCATTTAAAAAATATCTGGACTCTTTAGACTTTCTGGACCTGAGGATTAAGAATTTTTCTCACTTTTATCTTTTCACATCTTCTGTCTCCCTTAATCTTTTTTTTTTCTGAAACTACAATGAGATGTATGTAAAATCTGCACATTTTGTTGTGCGTTTCTCTCATATTTTTCTGCCTCTCTGCGCTGCAATATGGGGTAGTTCTTCTTTCCATATGAAAACATATCTTTCAATGTACTGCTTCTCCTTCCATTTGTGCTATTTCACATCAGTCTTTCACTATACTACTTATTTCCATCTCCACTCAGTTTCACTTCCTCCTCAGTGCACCGCGTCTCCATCTCCATTTTCACATCTGCCTCTCAGTGCACCAGGTCTCCTTCCATCTCTCCTCAGGATCACATCCACCTCTCAGTGCGCTCCGTCTCCATCTCCACTCACTTTCACATCCGGCTCTCAGTGTGCCACGTCTCCTTCCATCTCTCCTGAGTTTCACAGCCGCCTCTCAGTGCGCCCCGCCTCCATCTCCACTCACTTTCACATCCGGCTCTCAGTGCGCCATGTGTCCTTCCATCTCTCCTGAGTTTCACATCCGTCTCTCAGTGTGCCCAGTCTCCTTCCATCTCCACTCAGTTTCACATCCGGCTCTCAGTGCGCCACGTCTCCTTCCATCTCTCCTGAGTTTCACATCCGCCTCTCAGTGCGCCAGGTCCCCTTCCATCTTCCCTCAGTTTCACATCCGGCTCTCAGTGCACCACGTCTCCTTCCATCTCTCCTGAGTTTCACATCCGTCTCTCAGTGTGCCCAGTCTCCTTCCATCTCCCCTCAGTTTCACATCCGCCTCTCAGTGCACCAGGTCTCCTTCCATCTCCCCTGAGTTTCACATCCGGCTCTCAGTGCGCCGCGTCTCCTTCCATCTCCCCTCAGTTTCACATCCGGCTCTCAGTGCGTCAGGTCTCCTTCCATCTTCCCTCAGTTTCACATCCGGCTCTCAGTGCGCCACGTCTCCTTCTATCTCTCTTGAGTTTCACATCCGCCTCTCAGTGCGCCAGGTCTCCTTCCATCTCCCCTCAGTTTCACATCCGCCTCTCAGTGCACCAGGTCTCCTTCCATCTCCACTCAGTTTCACATCCGCTTCTCAGTGCACCGCGTCTCCTTCCATCTCCACTCGGTTTCACGTCCGCCTCTCAGTGCACCAGGTCTCCTTCCATCTCTCCTCAGGTTCACGTCCACCGCTCAGTGCGCCAGTCTCTTTCCATCTTCCCTCAGTTTCACGTCCGCTTCTCAGTGCACCGCGTGTCTTTCCATCTCTACTCAGTTTCACATCCGCCTCTCAGTGCGCGAAGTCTCCTTCCATCTGTCCTGAGTTTCACATCCACCTCTCAGTGTGCCACGTCTCCTTCCATTTGTACCAAGTCTTATGTGTACTCATCCATTAAGGTTTTCATTCCAAAGTAAATGCTGCACTTCTACAAGCTGTATTGTTTCTTTTTTTTCAAGCCTGCCTGCATTTTTAATTTTTTAGTGGCAGTATCTCTCTGCCACCCAGGTTGGCATGCCAGTGGCATGATTAGATTTCACTGTATCAGCAAACTCCTGAGCTCACCCTCTCACCCTCTCAAGTATGTAGGACGACAAGTGCCTGCCAACATGCCAAGCCAATTTTTTTCGTTTCTTTTTTAGAGATGATGTTTTGCTATATTGCCCTGGCTGATTGTTTTTTCTTTTGTTTGTTTGTTTTTTGGAATCCCACTCTGTCAACCAGGCTGAAGTGCAGTGGAACGACTACAGGCACAGGCCACCACGCCCTGCTTTTTTTTTTTTTTTTTTTTTGGTATTTTAGTAGAGACTGGGTTTCATCATGTTGGCCAGCCTGGTCTTGAACTCGTGACCTCAAGTGATCTGCTTGCCTTGGCCTCCCAAAGTGCTGGGATTACAGGCATGAGCCCCTGGCTGGTCTTAAACTCCTGGACTCAAGCAATCCTTGTGCCTCAACCTCCCGAGTAGCTGGGATTACATGCATGAGGCAGGGTGCCTGGCTTAGTCTGCCTAAAGGTTTCTAATAATAAACAGTGCCTTGCTTATGTATCCTATTGCCTCTTTTACAACTTCAAAGATTCAAATTGTACTTCTACTTAGTATTTTATAATCCCAATGGCTGAATTTCTTGATTAGGCAAAGTGAAGAACCAACTCTGCTGCTGTTTTTTTGTTTGTTTGTTTTGTTTTTTTTCTTATAGTGGTTTTTGGTGTATGTGTGTGTGAGAGAGAGATACTGGAATAAAAGGTCATCATTTATTCTGGGCTGTATGTGTAGAGTCTCATTTCAAGTTGATAGTGCATATCTCTTCTGGGGTGTTGTATCTCTTCAATCGAGGTATGTGCCCTAATCAGAGGGCATGTAAATTTGAAATCTAAAACCATGTATGAGAAGCTTATAATTACAAATAAATTATCAGGTATATTTTTCTCTCCAGAGACAAATTCCAATGGATTATTGCCATTGAAATCTCCCCACACAGGCTGGAAGATTTTTTTTTTTAATCTAGCCCTTGTTTTCATGCAAGATATAGCCTGTCAATGTGTTTGGATCTTTTTGTAAATCCCCATTTTTCTCTGGCCCAAGGTCCTGTCTCCTCTTCCCTAAGTGGCTCATGAAGCCCAGGTGTCTGAATCACTAAAACCCTCACACATCAGAGCTAGCAGAAGCTTCACTGTCATTTTGTATCTTTTCTGTAACAGAAAGTATTTTAAATTTCCAAACTCACCTCCACCTTGGAAGGATAGTTCTCCAGAAAGCATCGAACTGACCTTCCCCCAGCGCCCTTCTTGTTTGTAGTTCTCAATAATCACTAGAACAGCTGGGATCACTAGAACATGCTGAGATAGGGAGAATGGCCTGACAGCTGGGGCTCTGTTGCCATGCTCCCCTAGAAACAGAATGTGCTTTAATGCTGTAGCCCAGACATTCCTATTGCCGCAGAGCATACCACCTGGGGGTGGGGATGCTGCTGTCTGGGGATCCTCAGCTGCAGTGCAAGTGGTGCCCGTGAATTTTGAGACTCCTTCTGCTCCAGGCAGCTTTCCTGAACCTTGAGGAGGACTGGCTGGTGATAAATCCTAGGCTTCTGTTGTCCCTCATTGCCTGTCTGTGAGTAATAAACCTGCTTTCTATGACGTGTTGCGTATGTGTGTGTTCTGTCTTTCCTAACTCAGTTTGGTCACCAGCGCACAGCAAACCTGCTTCCCTGTCTTGTTCTTTCTCACTCAGGAGGTTGAGTAACGCCACCAGCGTAGTAACTCCTGGTATTAAATAACTCAACTTATTCATATCTAAGTGATCATGGCTTGTAGCCAGCCAATCTTTCCAGATGACTTTTGATTTCAGACAAGGACTTTATGAACATGAAGCTGAAATAATTTCTAACAATAACATTCTTATAAATGCGTTTGAGGGGAAAGTGATTTCTGGAAACCCACACATTTTACCAGCTAACCTTGTTGTTCACATGAGTTATTATTGCAGCTGTCACATTCCTTTTTCAGACCTGCTATGACGGAGATCATATATCTCTTTTAAATGTTATTCATTCAGTAAGTATTTATTAAGCGCCTACTATGTGCCAGACTTAATGCTAGAGCAACAAGGACGTAAAAATGAGAAAAGTGAAATGGATTCCATCCCTCATAAAGATTACAACCCACTGAGAAAAAGGAAGAACCCAACAATTACATAAACATATGTAGAAGGACATGAGAGAATTGTGGAAAGCCTATTTTGTACTGGGGGATAAATCTTATAAAAGCAAAGAAACAGCTTTGTGAGAAGGTATTTTATACGTATGTGTGTGTGTGTATATATATATATATATATATATTCTAATTTAGTAGTGAGAGTTTCTTCACGAAGGTGGCTATGAACTCTAGCTCTGCTCTTATGGGGCTCCAGGGATTTGATTGTGGATTTTTACAATATGCTTTTCACAAAATACATTTTTTTTAATCCTGGTGGATAGCCTAATGCCTAAGCATTTGACCTGTGACCAAGTGTCCCACTCACAGGAATATCCTGCTAGACACCATTGTGGCTGTTGTCTTACCTGTGTCCAATTGACTCCAAGCAAAATAGTCACCCTCTGGGAGAGCCCTGATGAGCAAAGAAGCTATATTCAGGTATATCAGTCAGGTGAGACAGAGAAAGCAAGTGAACAAAACACATAAAATAACAGAGGTGGTTTATTACCTACAGACCTCAGAGGGAAGAGGACAGCACACTTCACAGGGTTAATGGGAAGTGGGGAACCACAGACAAGCACGCTCAGCTAGTGGGTGGGGAGCAAGAGAGAAAACAAGAGACCTGTGGGCTGAAGCTTTTATTGGCCTCCAGGGTGATACCCAAACATGTTTCTTATAAGGAGTCAAGATTGGTGGGTTTAGAGCAAGCTGGAATGAGTTCCTTAGAATCATGCTGAGATTCTAGGAACTAGAATCAGTCTAGAATCAGATGGAGAGGTGGCCATCGTTATATATCTGCTCAGTCTATGCAAGGTGTGGGGGTCAGTGGTGCGAGTCAAGTAGGTTGTGTCCTAGAGAGAAGTAGTCACCAGGAGGTGATTATATAAGGCAGATATCTGGATTTATCACAGTGAGGAATTGGAAGGAGGTCAAGAACTGGGAATTGTGTCAAGAGTGACAGCCCCTGCTTCTGGGATGAGAAAATCTAGCTTATATTCAAAATATGCCAAAGCAAGGTAAAATGATAGGAATTCACTACAGCCTATAATGACAGATCTGAGTTTATCCAAGGAGCAGAAAAAGAAGTGATGCTAGTGGTGAGATGAGAAGAAGGACTTGGGTCTGGAGAGCCCAGGAGATCAGAGCTGCTGGTATGACAGAGAAGAAAGAGTGCTAGGCAATGGGGCTGGGGAGGTAGGGAGGCTGTGACTAACAGGGTTGAGGAGAGTACTCTGTGGGCAGTCTTGTTTTCGTCAGGAAACAAGCACAGAGGTCCACACTAAGAGAAGCAGAGAGGAAAGGAGTCAACTAGTTAACACTGACAGATCTTTCTTTCCAATGAAGAAAATGTAGGTGTCTTAGTCACGTCTTAGCCATGGCTAAATTACTATACCCCATGCTTTCCTCTTTTAAACTATCAAGAGCTGTTGTGAAACTAAACTCTTAGAAGAATCAGATCGGTTGTCAAAATCATTTCATATTTCCCCACATCCAAATTCTGCAAAAGCAGTGAACTTGAACTTTGCAGAGTAGAACTCCTTAGAATTAATTGTATTCCTCAAATAGCATGCCATCAGAGGGTCTGTCTCTCTTTTCCACTGTTAGGCCCTTTGCACACAGCAACCAAAACAGTTAATCACCAGAACACTGGGCGGGAGGTTGGGGGGAGCGGGGGGGAATAACATTTAAGCATAAAAAAGCACCAATTCCTGAATAATCATAAATTCATTTATTCAGTTTATCAGTGAAAATGTATTAAACATCTATTATGTGTCAGGCTCCATTCTCTGTCCTGTAAAAGGAAAATTAATTAACTTCCAGTAACTTCATTTTATTAGCAAGCTTTTGAAGGTATGGCCCGAGTAGTTCTTCTCCTGAGCAGTCATCCAGTAAAAGTTTGTACCAGATGCCCTCCATCCCCCTTTTAGTGAAACAGTAAGCTAATGGACACTGAGGAGCTAGAAGCCAAAGAACTTTGAGGAGATGCCTCACCAGCTGCTGATTTGCACTGGATCCTCCTGAAATAGCCTGGTGATAACTCAAACCAGCATAGAGGTAATTAGCTGCTATCGAAAACACACAAATATTGTTTCAATATGAGTTTTTTTCTTGTCTCACTTTTGGAAATACTTCAGAAAAAGACTGCATGACTGTCAAAACTCTGTGAACTAAATTTTGTAAAGGGGGTGGAGGTTGTGAAGCCACCCTTTATGAATACAACAAATGGGCTGAAGTCCTTGTTCACACATTTTTAATAACATTGTTTCAGATGGGCCCTAGCTTCACCTCTTTTTTTTTTTTTTTTTTAAACAATAAATAAGTTGAAATTAATATACAGGCTACCAGATCAGCCAGGCAGAAGAAAGATCTCAGGGACAAATAGTACTGTCCTCAAAACACCATCAGGAAAGAGCCATATATATCTGCATTGCCACTGTATATTTCTATTTTCTATACCCAACTAAGCCAAATAAAGTTCATGGTATTGGAGAGGCGGCTCTACTACAATGACACGTTTAGATTTACCTATTTGTAATTTTAGCTGTAAGTAGTATAGATTTGATTATCATCTTTAATATTGGCTATTGAATAGGGACAGAATAGACTTAGCTTTTATGGGGATAAGTCATTTCTGTTCACGAAGATCTTATAGTATCTTATGGGTAAGATATATGTATCTAGGTATCTAGGTTTTTTGTCTCTCAGCAATAAAGAAAAATCATGAATGAACCCCTCCTTACAGTCCTGCAAAAAAGTGAACCTATCTGTTGTTTGGAAACATTAAAATAGAGAGAATGTTCCCATCTGCAGGGGACAGTTTATGTGAAGTTATTCTTGAAGACAGGGAAAGGGCTTAGATGACCCCTGGGAAGCCCCTCTCCCAACTCTCCAGCAGCAACCTCCCCTGGTAAGCCTACAGGTATCTTCTTCCGTCTATGCTGCTTTCGTGTGAAGGGTAATAGTTATGACACCTATGGCAATTCCAGAAATGCATGTGTACCACTGAATGCCACTTTTGTCTCTTTAGGAGGGTGAGACTCAGACTTTGTGGCACTTAGCAGTAACTTTGATAACTCAAAAGAGGCAAATGCGTATCAGAATTTTCCCCTCTCACAGAGCCCTGGCAAGATTATTTTTCTCCTGCAGTGATGAAATAGAACATTAAATATTCTGTCTTCTCCAAACAAAAAGCATAATACAATCCCTTTTTATCTGACAGTTGACCGAAACTTGTTTTTCTGGGTTCATCAGTTATCTTTTTATTTTATTTATTTATTTGTATTTATTTATTTATTTTTTTAGAGACGGAGTCTCACTCTGTCACCCAGGCTGGAGTGGAGTGGCGCGATCTCACTGCAAGCTCCACCTCCCGGGTTCACGCCATTCTCCTGCCTCAGCCTCCCGAGTAGCTGGGACGCCACTAAGCCCAGCTAATTTTTTTTTTTGTTTTGTATTTTTAGTAGAGACATGGTTTCACTGTGTTGGCCGGGATGGTCTTGATCTCCTGACCTCGTGATCCGACCGCCTCAGCCTCCCAAAGTGCTGGGATTATAGGCGTGAGCCACCGCACCAGCCCAGTTACTTTTTTTAATAGATGGCAGATAAAATTAGAGATGAGACAATGCATGGCGAAGAATGTCTCTTTCTATGAAAAGCGGAAGACCTAAAACTAAACCCAGCCAGAAAACACTTTCCATGCACAGATAACATCACTTATCGATTTATGTCTCTGCGAGGTAAAAGAACTGCATATAGTCACTTATGGATGCTATAAGCCAGTGGACAAAAATAATATTAAAGAGAGAGACAAAGAAAAATATTGGGAAACTTTTAGATTCCAGGACTGGCGTCCACCCTGCACCCTGAACTGCTGAGACAGTTCACAGCCATCTGCAATCCTGAGTGGGAATAAGCGGATAAATTATTATCTTACTTGTTTTTATTCATCTTAAATGTATATATAACTTGCATTTATTTCAATGTTTAATAATAGAAAGGTTTTGGTCTTTTTTTAGAAGTTTGGTAATATTCTTGTGACCAGAAATATGCCATAGGAAATTAACTCTTGTTTCTATCAATTATTGTACAATAAAGATGTTTTTATTATTATTTATTTATTTTAGTTATTTATTTATTATTTGAGACAGAGTCTGACCCTGTCACCCAGGCTGAAGCGCAGTGGTGTGATCTCGGCTCACTGCAACCTCCACCTCTTCTGCCTCAGCCTCCCAAGTAGCTATGAACTACAGGTACATGCCACCACGCCTGGTTAATTTTTGTATTTTCAGTAGAGATGGAGTTTTGCCATGTTGGCCAGGCTGGTCTCGAACTCCTGACCTCAAGTAATCCACCCACCTTGACTTCCCAAAGGGTTGGAATTATAGGCATGAGCCACCACACTCAGCCAAGTTGTTTTCATTATATGTCATTTGGTGTAGTCTCAATGTCCAAGAACCTATGGGTGACCTTAAGTGAAGCTTTACTGTACTTTTTAGGCTCGTTCCTAGCTCAGCAGTAAAAGTGGAGATCCCTCAGACATGCTCTCTGTTGTTACTAAGGGCTAAAAAAAAACAAAGCCTAGCACATATTTTTAAATTTTTAGGTCTAATCCTAAATCAATTTTGTCACCTTTCTCATGCCTCCTGTTTTGGGACCCCTTACACACATATGCAATTGGGTACCCCACAGTCAGGGCCATCTCACCTTCAACCTCATCAGTGCCCTACATCAGTAAGGGTACCTTGTACAACCCTATCCTTTTGCTGCCACAAATGTTATATTAGATGTTTATAGTCAAATACAGACTATAGAGTAAAAAGTGTCCCAATTTTTTCTTTGTCTTTCTTTTCAATATCATTTCTGTCCACTGTCCTGTGGTATCCATAATTGATTATAGCTGCAGTTCTTTTAGCTCAATTGATAAGTGATGTTTTATGTGATTTGGAAAGTGTTTTCTGTTAGGTTTCAGTTTTACATCTCCCAATTTTCATAAAAAGAGACATTCTTTGCCTTGGGCTGACTCATCTCTCAATTCTTCTGCTATCTCTTATCTATGACACACACCCACACTCACTCATATAGGAACCATATAGACATGGCAGTTCACCTCATGTGCACAGCTTTGGGATGTAGGGGAGGAAACTGGAATACCCAGAGAAAACCCACACAGACATGAAGAGAACACGCAATTGCCACTCAGACAGTGGCATTGAGAGATGACAGCGTGCTGGCAGCCCTCGCTCACTCTCGGTGCCTCCTCGGCCTCGGTGCCCACTTTGGCCATGCTCGAGGAGCCCTTCACTCCACCACTGCACTGTGGGAGCCCATCTGTGGGCTGGCCGAGGCCGGAGCCAGCTCCCTCTGCTTGCGGGGAGGTGTGGAGGGAGAGGTGTGGGCAGGAACTGGGGCTGCACATGGTGCTCGCGGGCCAGCGTGAGTTCCTGGTGGGCATGGGCTCTGAGGCCCAGCACTCAGAGCAGCTGGCCAGCGCTGCCACCCCGGGCAGTGAGGGGCTTAGCACCCGGGCCAGCAGCTGTGGAGGGTGCACCGGGTCCCCCAGCAGTGCCGGCCCACAGACGCTGTGCTCAAATTCTCGCCAGGCCTCAGCTGCCTCCCCGCAGGGCAGGGCTTGGGACCTGCAGCCCACCATGCCCGAGCCTCCACCCTGCTGTGGGCTCCAGCATGCAGCTGGAGCCTCCCTGATGAGTGTCACCCCCTGCTCCCCAGAACCCAATCCCATTGACTGCCCAAGGGCTGAGGAGTGCGGGCGCACGGCGCCAGACTGGCGGGCAGCTCCACTTGCAGCTCCCATGCGGGATCCACTAGGTGAAGCCAGCTGGGCTCCTAAGTCTAGTGGGGACTTGGAGAACCTGTATGTCTAACTAAGGGATTGTAAATACACCAATCAGCACTCTGTGTCTAGCTCAAGGTTTGTAAACACACCAGTCAGCACCCTGAGTCTAGCTGAAGGTTTGTAAATGCACCTATCAGTGCTCTCTGTCTAGCTAATCTAGTGGGGACTTGGAGAACTTTTGTGTCTAGCTCAGGGATTGTAAACGCACCAATCAGCACCCTGTCAAAATGGACCAATCAGCTCTCCGTAAAACAGACCAATCAGCTCTCTGTAAAATGGACCAATCAGCAGGATGTGGGTGGGGCCAGATAAGGGAATAAAAGCAGGCTGCCCGAGCCAGCAGTGGCAACCCACTGGGGTCCTTTTCCATAACGTGGGAGGTTTGTTCTTTTGCTCTTCGCAATAAATCTTGCTGTTGCTCACTCTCTGGGTCCACACTGCCTTTATGAGCTGCTACACTCACTTCAAAGGTCTGCAGCTTCACTTCTGAAGCCAGCGAGACCACAAACCCACTGGGAGGAATGAACAACTCTGGATGGGAAGAATGAACAACTCCAGACATGACGCTTTAAGAGCTGTAACACTCACTGTGAAGGTCTGCACCTTCACTCCTGAAGCCAGCAAGACCACGAACCCATCAGAAGGAAGAAACTCGGAACACGTCCAAACATCAGAAGGAACAAACTCTGGACACACCATCTTTAAGAACTGTAACATTCACCACGAGGATCCGCGGCTTCATTGTTGAAGTCAGTGAGACCAAGAACCCACCGATTCCGGCCACAGCCTTGCAGAGACTATATGTATTTTTTCTTATCAACATATCGTTGAAGAAAATTACACTACTGGGAGGCATGCTGTAGCAAAATGGGCTGGCAAAAAGCCAGAGCTGTTCTGAAGATACAGCAGCTAGCCCAGTTCCTAAGGTGCTGATTTAGAGTGACTTTGGAGTGTCCACTTACTGAAGTGTAAAATCGCTAAAGGAGATTTTGGTGGGAGTCGGAGTAAGCTGCTTAATTTTGGGCATGTTAATTTAGAGACAGCTATTTAGGACATATGTGGAGAGGGCACGCAGGCAGTTGGAGACACGAGTTCAGGGAGCGTTCTAGGCTGTGGACGTAGATTTGGGAGTTGGTGGTATGTAAATAGAATTTATAAACATGAGACTGAGTGAAAGCATCATAGCAGAGGGAATGTTTAAAGAAGAGAGGAGGCCTGGGGATGTTTAACGCTTAGAGGCACAGGTATGAGGAGCCTGTGAAGCAGAATGAGAAGTGTCACCAATTGAGGCAGAAGGAGAATAGTGAGGAAGTGGAAGCTACAGAAGAAAGTGTTTCAGGAAGGAAGGAGTTACCAGCTGTGACACATGTGGTTTAGGACAAGTGAGTTGAGCCTTGAAAATTGGCCATTGGCTTCAGAAAAGTGTAGTAGTTGGTGAAGTTGAAGAAAGCTGCTTTTAGTGTGGTGTTGGGAACAATGCCTGGCAGAATTGGGCTCAAGAAACAATAGAACAAGGCAAGGTGGAGACAGCAAATACAGGCAAATGTGTTGGGCAGATATTCAGGTGGTTACCAAGTAGGCAGGTAGAAAAACTATTTTGGTAGAAAACTGGGTGATTGGAAATGTTGGCATTTCAGGAGTTGCATTTGGTTTAGAGACATAAATACCATTCAGGGGGACAAGTCCTCTGAAGAGGTATCTAGTATAATTGCATCTGAGAACAAAAACCAGGGGAAAACAAACCATAAACCACGGGCTAGAGTAGAGGGTCCCAGACATTAAGATATATAAAAGGGCCGGGCGCGATGGCTTATGCTTGTAATCCCAGCACTTTGGGAGGCTGAGGCGGGCAGATCACGAGGTCAGAAGATCGAGACCATCCAGGCTAACATGGTGAAACCCCGTCTCTACTAAAAATACAAAACATTAGCCAGGTGTGGTGGTGGGTGCCTGTAGTTCCAGCTACTCAGGAAACTGAGGCAGGAGAATGGCCTGAACCTGGGAGGCGGAGCTTGCAGTGAGCCGAGATCCCGCCACTGCACTCCAGCTTGGACAACAGAGCGAGACTCCGTCTCAAAAAAAAAAAAAAAAAAAAAAAAGATATATCAAAGGTGATGGAAATCCAGCTGAATTGATAATGCAGATGAGTAGAGAGAAGATAAATTCAGCAAGATGAGAGGAGGCAAGTCGGATTTTTCCTAGAAGGCATTTTAATGGGGCTGAGTGCTACATTTCAGGACCAAGTTCTATTCCTTTTGGAGGCAGGAAAACTTGACCACTGCTCCCCACTAAAAAATCAAGGCTTTTGGTATTATGATGTTTCTAAAAGGATAAGCCTTTTGTTTGCCTATAAGAAGCTGTTATTATCAGCTGAGTTAAAGGATCATAGTGCAAGGTCTCATAAACAAAATATCCCTGAGTGCCTTTCATAAATGTGAATTCAACTTATTTATGTCTTCGGCCTTTGAACCACCTCCTGGAAGAGTTAATATCTTAACCTTTTACGACGTAAAGTTTTAGTGAGAATTAGTTTTGTTCTTGGTGGGAATTTCTCTGTAGCTCATACTAAACCCCTGGGAAGGGACTGACCTAGAAGGAGGAAAGAGTGGAGCCTGAATCACCCAGTCTGTTTCGCTGATGGTGAGCCATGGCTTAGGGTCTGGCTGTGTAAGGAGAGGACCCTAAAAATAGACTGCCATCAAGGTGGCTTGGTCAATGCACTGCGATGTCAGTGAAATAGTGCAGGAGAAAGAAGTGTTGCTGACTGTATCACAAAAATTTCTGCCTTTCAGCTGGATTTTGAAATTAATCTGCCAACATTATAGTTAAGTTTGCGTATGATTGAATTAGGTGACTAAGCAATCCTCACAAATAAACAAAAGAAAAATAATATTATTGAACAGTTTTTGTTTTGCTTTTAAAATTGTGATGGAATTTTAGGTTCAGAAAGAAACTGTGAGCCAGAAAAACAGAGAGTGAGAGAACCGTCTTTCACAGAAAATCAAATGTTTCATAACTCAGAAAAAATGAATATATCTAACTTTTAAGAAAAAAATCTTAAATTGTTTATTTCATCTATGAGGCTTTTCAGCCCACAGATCAGGTTTTTTTTGTTTTGTTTTGATCTCCACATTTGTATCATCTTCAATACTCACCTTGATTTCACCTTCCTTCCCCTTTCTCTCTTATTCTCTCTGACTTTAACATTTCTTCTTGCCTTTTCATGACTATCTCTATCTTCCACTCATTTTTCTGCATCAGGTTTTTACTCTAAGTCTCTGATGCCTTTGTGTCTATATATATATGTGTGTGTGTGTGTGTGTATGTGTATATACATATACACACATATATATACACTATATATACACTATACTATATATATACAATACTATATATAGTGTATATATACTACATATATATAGTATCTACTAAACATTTACAATATTTAGAATCTTCTGTACTGTGATGAAAGCACACTTCAGTGACAATTTTTATGCACAGGTTTCTACTTTCTATGGGACCCCTTATTTAGACATGAAGTATTAAATTTATGTCAAAATGTAGGAGAAACAAATCTTTTAAGAACAACAAAAACAGGAAAGGAAGAATGTTAAGATTTTTGAAGAGAAAAGTTAAATATTACTATATTTTATGTATGTGGTGTTTACCTAATATTTTAAAGGGTAAGATGTCATCCACATAGAGTTGTCATTGTGAGCACTTATGTCTTCTCTAGTTTCTCTAGCTCTCTTAAATTTTTTAATTCTTTCTCTAATTCCACATTGCTTACCACATTTTTCTGATTTCTTCATTTTCCAAAAGGATGCATTTCCTTACTTTCTGTTCATTTTAGTGTTTTCTTTTTTGTTTGGAATTTTTTCTCTACGGGATATCATACATATCCTTCATGCTGATGACTTCCAGTACATCTCTACACTCTCTCTCTCTCTCTCTCTCTCTCTCTCTCTCTCTCTGTTTGTGTGTGTGTGTGTGTGTCTTGCTAGAGCTATACATCTGTATTTTTATATTCTGGCTGGATTTGTCACCTGGATTCCCAACAGGCTCCACACAGTATGTCCAAGTGGATATCATCATTAACTCCCCAATCTAGTTACTTACACTGATTTCCTTTTACCTGTCAGTAGCCACACAGGGAGAATGGCTGAGCTAGTCCCCACCATCACAACCACCACCAGGATGCACATACTAAGCAGTGTTTACCTCAGGATGAAGCAAAACACACAGACTTCTGAAGTGGGCACTCCAACACTGGAGACTCATGGTCTGGGGAAACAATACCAGGTACCATAAAGCCACAGGAGGTACGCAGAGGTCCCAAACCTAGAAAATAAACTGTATAGGAGTTCCAGCTTAATTCCTATTCTGCTGGTCTCCTGAAATCACTAAATGTGATATTCTGAGTGTGAAGCTTCATTTCTTTCCAGGGATTCCCTGAAAAATGAGAAAATAGACTTGAGCTAGTAATATATTCTACTTCGACTATCCACAAATATTTACAGACAAACAAGAATCACAGCCTAAGAAGAGATATCACACGCAAACAAACTCTAAGAAAGCAAAATTAATAAAGTGGAAAAAGGGAAACCTCCACATAAACAGTCCTCACTCCTCATCAAGAATTGAGATGTAATTTGTTTAAAAAAAAGAAGTGGGGGAAGAGGATGATGAGGAAGAGCAGAAGCAAGAGGTGAAGATGAAGAGGAGGAAAAGAAAAATAAATGAAAATAAAGTGGTTAATAGTAAAATAGAAGCCTCTCAACAACAGTTCTTGGAGTTTTAAAATATTGTTATAGAAACAAAATAATAAAGAGTAGATGAGTGCTATAAATAATATACGTAGTGAGAATGTGATTTATAAGGTGGAAACTTGTGTGAAGGAAACAAAAGATATTAGAAGAAAAATAATGAAACTTGGAAGATAAATCTAAAAATTCCAACATTCATCTAATAGGAGTTCTAGAAATTCATACAACAATTTGCCAAAGATGAGATTATCAAAGACTTTTTTTAAAAAAAAGAAAATGTCATGGTGCAAAGAACTTAAATTCACCTTTAGAATAAAAGGGCCAACAGGGCACAGAGCTGACTAATAAAATTTATATTACTTGTAGAATATAAACATATGGGGGGATAATAGGATTATAAAACCTAAAATAGTTGCTAAGAAATTATTTCTAAGTACTTAAAGGCCTAATGTAAAAATAATTATCATTCGTAATTAAAATTCCATTTTAAGAAAGCGCAGGAGGTGGTGAAGTTAGAAGAAAAAGTAAAAGCATGTGAAAAATAGTGTCCTTCCATGTGCAGTGTGAAAAGACACAGGCAGAAGAATATATAAACAAAATGTTTTTAATAAAAAAACCTTCTGAAAATAATAAGCAAAATAAAACTCAGAAAAAAATAGGCAAATGAGATAGACTCTTAATTCACAGAAGAAATCCATGGATCTGATAAACTAATAACAAACCGGTAATCAAAGAAACAAAAATTTTAAAAGTAATGAAATAGTGCTTTTCATCCCAAATTGTCAAAAATTAAAAATAGTAATACTTAACACTCAAGTTTTTACTATGTTATATGATGAAATGGAATAAATAAAGAGATGATCTCACTCAGTGACCATAATAAAACTATGGAGAATGTGTTTTTAATATTCTATCTGTATAGATGGGAATATCAAGATTTTGGGAAACTTCCAGAACCTTCTCTACTCTTCCAGAAATCCTCCATCGCCTCCCCTTCACAGCTAAAATTTTGGGAGGTTAACTCTGTACATATCATATCCACTTTCTCACCTTCTTCTTTTCACTCATTAACTTAGGGCAGTTATTTCTCTACTTCCATCACTCCAGTGAAATATTTATTTCCAAGCAAACCACTGTATGATTAACCCAGTAGCTTCTTCTCAGTCCTTATCTTCATTGCCTTAGGTGATTGAAATTGCAACTTATTTTAACTTCTTGATGCATCTTCTTTCCTTGACTATGGCCCTAAAGGCTTGCACATTTCTTCTTGCTCTTTGCTGAAACCTGCACATACTTCTCTATGCCTAACCTGCCACTTCCCCTAACTCCCTAGTGCTCCAGAAGCATTCGTTATGAGCCAGTGAGTTTAAAATATGTACATTCCCTTGCAGACAAACAAATTACATCTACATGCAAAATGAAGTTGCACAGAGGACCAGTTTCTTAAGGTAAAAGAAGAAGTATGGCAATTATTCCCTTACCCACAAACTCAGACTATCTCATATTGGTACAGGAATGAAGAAGAAATTACTTACACAGATAGTGAGGGTATGGAAGTCTTCGGTACAGTTTTCCTTTTAATGAAAAGTAGCCCCAAATCATGTTCCTTTCTAACAAAGAGCAGCCTGTAAAATCAAGCTGCAGATATAGATGCTGGCAGTTGTGCCAATCATGTTCAAAATAGCGGCTCCACCTTCCCTTCTCTGCCAGCCACATGTACAGTAAGGAGCAGACAAGATGGCCCTGGCCAAGGGGAAAGTTCAGTTACATAATAAGATTAGGGTAGGGTGGCCAGCCTTCCCTGGGCTATGTAAATGTCACACCTGATGGAACCAATCTGTGAGCTCTACATAAATCAGACACCGCCTACTGGAGCCTGACTATAAAATTCACCACATGTGCTGCCAGCTGGCCTTTCCTCTTGGAAATCTCCTCCCTCTCCCTAGAGAGAGAGAGAGCTGTTTTCTTTTCTTTTTCTTTTCCCATTAAACCTCTGCTCCTAAACTCCTCATATGTGTCTGTGTCCTAAATTTTCTTGGTGCAAGAGGATGAACCCCAGGTATTTACCCCAGACACCATAACTGCTTCAATATCGCTTTTGCTCATGTTTAAAAAAAATACTCCTAATTGTAATTCTTTTTTGTGAACATGTGACTAAACAAAATGAGTACAGCACAACAGGTTCCTGTTGTGCATCAGGATAATAATCTAGTATTTTTATCCATTTTTTGGATAAATGTATTTAACTCCATTTTTTCAGAACTGGTCATGGAACACAAACATTGTCTTGGTAAATAAATGCCTCATTTATTTACCAATAATAAATAAATATTATTTATATTTATTTATTTATCTCTACTTTTATTTTAGGTTCAGGGAATGCATGTGGAGGTTTGGTACATGGCGATATTGCTTGTTGCTGAGGCTCAGTGTAAGAATGATCCTGTCACCAAGGTAATGAGTACAGTACCCGATCGGTACCCTTCCATTCCATGTACCACTCCCACCCTTCTTCCTTACGCAGCCCCCAGTGTCTATTGTTCCCATCTTTGTATCCATGTATACTCAATGTTTAGTTCCCACTTGTATATGAGAACATGCCTTATTTGATTTTCTATTCCTGCATTAATTTGCTTAGGATAATGGCCATCTGCGTTCATGTCCCTGCAAAAGACATGATTGTGTTCTTTTTGATGGTTACGTAGTATCCCACGGTTTATATGTACCAGTTTCTTTATGCAGACTACTATTGATAGACATCTTGGCTGACTCTGTGTCTTTGCTAAGGTTACTAGCTCTGTAATGAACATACGAATGCATATGTCTTTTTGGTAAAATGATTTATATTCTTTTGGATGTATACCCAGTAGTAGGATTACTGGGTCAAATAGTAGTTCCATTTTAAGTTATTTGAAATATTTCCACGCTGCTTTGCACAGTGGTTGAAATAATTTACATTTCTACCAGCAATGTATAAGTGTTCCCTTTTCTCTGCAGCCTTGGCAACATCTATTTTTTTTTTTTACTTTTTAGTAATAGCCATTCTGACTGGTGTGAGGTGGTATTTCATTATGGTTTTGATTTTCATTACTCTAATGATCAATGATAATGAGCATTTTAAAAATGTATTTGTTTATCACATATATGTCTCTTTTGAGAAGTATCTGTTTATGTCCTTTGCCCACTCTTTAATGGGGTTGTTTTTTGTTGGTTGAATTATTTAAGATCCTTACAGATTCTGGATATTGGGCCTTTGTCAGATACAGAGTTTGTGAATATTTTCTCCCATTTTGTACGTTGTCTCTTTCCTCTGTTGATAGTTTATTTTGCTGTGTGGAATCTTTTCAATTTAATTAGGTACTACTTGTCAATTTTTGTTTTCGTTGCACTTGCTTTCAAAGACTCAGTCATAATTTGTTTGCCAAGGCCGATGTCCAGAATGGTATTTCCTAGGTTTTCTTCTAGGGTTTTTATTATTTTAGGCCTTATATTTAAGTGTTTGGTTTACCTTTAGTTAGTTTTTGTATATGGTGAAAAGAAGTGGTCAAGTTTCAATATTCTGCAAATAACCAGCCAGTTATCCCAGCACCATTTATTGAATTGGAAGTCCTTTTCCCAGTTTGTTATTGTCAACTTTGTTGGCCGGGTGCCGTGGCTCACACCTGTAATCCTAGCACTTTGGGAGGCCAAGGCAGGTGGATCTCCTGAGGTCAGGAGTTCAAGACCAGCCTGGCCAACGTGGTGAAACTTCATCTCTACTAAAAGTACAAAAATTAGCCAGGCCTGGTGGCAGGTGCCTATAATCACAGCTACTTGAAGGCTGAGGCAGGAGAATCGCTTGAACCTGGGAGGTGGAGGTTGCAGTGAGCCATGATTGCGCCATTGCACTCCAGCCTGGGTGACTAGAGTGAAACTCCATCTCAAAAAAAAAAACAAAAAAAAAAAACTGTCGAAGACCAGTTGGTTGTATTTGTGCAGCTTTGTGAGTTCTGTATCCTGTTCCATTGTTCTATGTGTTGTTTTTGTACCAGTACCATGATGTTTTGGTTATTGTAGCCTTGTAGTATAGTTTGAAGTTGGGTAGTGTGATGCCTAGTGGCTTTGTTCTTTCTGGTTAGCTTTGCAATTCAGGCTCTAAAATTCATATGAATTTTAGAATAGCTTTTTTCTAAATCTGTGAAAAACGACATTGATAGTTTGATAAGAATAACACTGAATTGATACATTTCTTTGGGCAATTTGGCCATTTTAACATTATTGATTCTTCTAATCCATGAGCTTGGAATGTTTCTTCATTTGTTTGTGTCATTTTTTATTTCTTTCAGCAGTGTTTTGTAATTCTTCTTGTAGAGATGTTTCACCTCCATGGTAAGCTGTATGCCTAGGTATTTTAATCTTTCTGTGGCTATTGTAAATAAGACTGCATTCTTTATTTAATTCTCAGTTTGGATATTATTGGTGTATAGAAATGCTACTGATTTTTATACATTGATATTGTATCTTGATACTTCAATGAAGTCGTTTATCAGTTCCAGGAGGCTTCTGGCAAAATATTTGGGGTTTTCTAGGTATAGAATCATATCTTCTGCAAAGACAGATAGTTTAACTGCCTCTCTTCCTATTTAGATGCCTTTAATTTTATTATCTTGCCTGATTGCTCTGGCTAGGACTTTCAGTAGTATTCTGAATAGGAGTGGTGAGAGTGAGCATCCTTGTCTTGTTCCAGTTCTCCAAGGGAATGCTTCCAGCCTTTGCCTATTCATGCCTTATTAAACCATGTAATAATGTATAGTGCAACTAAGCATTTTTGAATGATGTCTGTTTAGATAGCAAGCATCAGTGACTTATGGTTTATTAACAAATATATTTTGTTACTTCCAAAACATAGAAAATGATCTCTACCTGATAAAGGCATTTAACAATAAAATATGAAAAAAGGAAACATTTATACCAAAGAAGGCCTTGTAAAAACCAAAAAAGATTATACTGCAAATATTTAATATTAAAAGCTATCATTCTTAAGATAAAAAGTAAAAAAAAAATAAAAAAAACTCAAAGGATTAATTACTCTCTCCCGTAGTCTTGATCTTTGTTTCATGACAAATATTCCAGGTGTAGGAAATGTCTTTGAATTTTTGTTGAAGTTGGTCACATGTGTAAGTGCATCTTAGAGCCTCTTTATACTGGGTGTTAATGCATATATCGGTTCATGCAAATATTTTGTTGGCTTACTCTGATACTGATTTTATTTGTGTGTGTTTGATGAAAATCTCCATTGCTTTTCTAATTCAGATTTTCAGATGTTTGTAATTTCAAGTCACAATATTCACAAAGAATATCATGTTCCTTCTTTGCATGTCTTCTGTTAAATTATTTACAAAGAACTGTAGTCTGTAGTTAAAAAGGTTAATAGCACTCCACAGAATCTCTTTCAAAATTGCCAATCTAAGGACTTTTTTGCTTCCAAAGCTTGCTATTTCTTGGGGAACTACACAACAGAGTATACTGTATATAAAGTATACTGTGCACATGTATTTATTAATGTTTATTTCATTTGCAAGAATGACTAAGCATTAGCAGCATACAGAGCCAGAAAAACACACATAATATGGCAGTTACAAATAACACTGATTAGAAATTGTTGGCTTCTCTCCCACATGTTTTTGTGCTGGCTCATAGAAATCTGACCTTAATCGTTGACTTCTAGTCCACTTTTTCCACTTTTGTTTTCAATTTATTGTCAGTAAATTATTAAATTCCTTTGAACCAGTAACATTCTTATGTTGCTTTGTAAGCTTTACTTTTCATATGAGAATTATAATACTTTTTTCTGTTTTCATGATTTATTGAATAATTTTTCACAGGATTTGAAATTTGGAAAAGCCTATAAAGTTTTCAGAAAATTCCAGAAAAAAAATTCTGCACAGAAGCATTTAACTATATTTAAACGTATGAGATACAGCTGATGGAAACATAATATTTGACTTGGAAACCATTATTGTAAAAACTAATACATTGTCTTTCTTTCCTGCTTCACATATTCATCAATTGCCTACAATGCGAAAGACATTATCCTAAGTACTCACATGAAAACAAAAACAAAATGGAGTTGTAGATGCTGGCAAGGCTGTGGAGAAAAAGGAATGCTTGCCTACTGTTGGTGGAAATGTAAATTGATTTAGCCTCTGTGGAAAGCAGTTTGGAGATTTCTGAAAGAACTTAGTACTATCATTCAACCCAGAAAGCCCATTATTGGGTATATATTGAAAAAATCATTCTACTAAAAAGACACATGCATTTGCATGTTAATCTCAACACTATTCATCATAGCAAAGACATGGAATCAACATAGGTGCCCATCAACAGTGGACTGGATAAAGAAATTGGTACATATACACCATGGAATACTATGTAGCCATAAAAAAGAATAAAATCACATGCTTTTCAGCAACATGGATGCAGCAAGAGACAATCATCCTAAGTGAATCAATGCAGGAACAGAAAACCCAATACTGCATGTTCTCACTTATAAGTGGGATCTAAACATGGGGTACTCATGGCCATAAAGCTGTAGACAATAGACACTAGGGACATCTAGAGGGGAGAGGGAGCGATGGGGCCAAGTGTTGAAAAACTGTTAGGTACTATGCTCACTACCTGAGTGATGAGATCTTTTGTACTCCAAACCTCAGCATCACATAATATACCCATGTAACAAACCTGCACATTTACTCACTGAATCTAAAATAAAAGTATCGAAATTTTTTTTTAATGAGTTGTATGGGGTCTTGCCCTCAAGTGGCCTTAGGGGTAAAAGGTGGTTAGCTAGAACATGCAGTAGAATATAAATTAGCATAAAGAGCATCTAAGACAAAGAAAGAGGTGAAGATAAAACATAATGGGACAGCATTGGAAAGATAGTTATTACAACTCTATCTATTCCAAATAAATTCCAAATACTTATTCTAAAATACACAGATTTTAGATAACTGAGAGCAGTGGTGATGGGGAAGGGAGATTATAATACAAACACAGACACTAAAACTGGATTACCTAGCTTCTAATTTCAAATAGCCCCAAAATTTTCCAAATGTATGTAGTTTCTTAAATTCCCTATGCCTCAACTTCTAACTCAGTTAAATGGAAAAATAATGTAATTACCTGAAATGGTTATTCTGATGATTAAATAAGTTAATACATGTAAAGCTCTTAAAATGGTAAGTGGAGCATAATAACCAATCAATAAACATTAGTTCCTATTTTTGTTGTTGTTGTATTTAATATTTTTCCTGGATAAATAACCAACATGGAAAAGGCACAAATGTGGGAAATGAGGCCAGGTGCAGTGATTTACGCCTGTAATCCCAGCACTTTGAGAGGCCGAGGCAAGTTCATCACCTGAGGTCAGGAGTTCGAGACTAGCTGGGCCAACATGGTGGAACCCTGTCTCTACTAAAAATACAAAAATTAGCCAGATGTGGTGGGGTGCACCTGTAGTCCCAACTACTCGGGAGGCTGACGTAGGAGAATCGCTTGAATCCAGGAGGTGGAGGTTGCAGTGAGCTGAGATCACATCACTGCCCTCCAGCCTGGGTGACACAGCAAGATTGTGCCTCAAAAAAATAAATAAACTAAAATAAAGTATATAAACTTTTGAGCAGGAAAATTTTTAAAAGCAACATGTATTCACAATAAAAAAATGTGGGAAATGGAAGACTCATAGAGAAACAGTGGGTAATTTTGTTTAGTTAGAGCATGAACCTACAAAAATAAAATGAAGAGTAGAAAACAAAATTTTAACTTTCTGTCTCTATTTCTAACCCATTAACATATCATTCAGTATTATCCCTTAAAAGTCATCTATGGCTGCACTATAGTTTCTACAATAGTAACTTTCAGCAGTTCAACACTCCTACTGAACAAAATAAAAAGCTTATAAAATTATATATATAGCTATGTCTAATGTATCTAGGAATAAATGATCCAAGACTGCTGAGAGGCAAGCCATGGGGAGATGAGTTCATGTTTCATAGTTACTTTTTCTAGTTATAGTTCCTCATTGTGAGAATCCATCAAGATGCTGACATCCTAGGCTTTGCCCAGGAAAAGAGGCACTACCTGGTGCGGGGGTAGGCATGGGGGTAGATAAATAAGAAGAGCTTTGACTGTCATGGAGCTGAAAAAAATGACAAATTATCTGTCCAAGATCTTGCTGAGCAGAGACAGGTAGAGAACTAAGCCTGACACAAGGCAAGAAAATACATTTCTATACTCTAATAGCGGATAATTAAAAGTACAGTTTTTAAAGCTCCAAGTACAATTATGTGGAAATCATAATATGCTTAGGGATATGTTTTATAAGACACATATAAAAATTCTATACTAGGAAATAAAAGGAAACATTGGTGAGAAAAATTAAAGAAGACCTAAATAAATGAAGAGGTATCTTATGTTCATGATTTGAAAGAATCAATACAGTAAAATTATCAACTCTGGCTATATAAAACTATTGAATTGATCCTATGCGTTCGGCCAGATGTTTATAGAAATTGACATGCTGTTGTTAGTCTACAAGAATATGCAAATAAATTAGTATTTCTAATACATGTATTCTAGATAAAACAGAACAAAGTTGGAGGTTCTTATACTGACTTCAAAACTTAATATAAAGCTACATTAATCAAGGCAATATGATTCAGGCATGAGGATTAACAAATAAGTGAATAGCACAGTATATAAAGCCCCCAAATAGTCATTTGATTTTTCAACCAATGTGCCAAAGCAATCCAAGGAAGAGAGAAAGCCTGTTTAAAAATAATGTAGTTTGGATATCCATAAGAAAAAAGAAAAACAGTAAGTGTTTAAGCCTTGACTCCCAGCTCACCATTTACCTAAATATTAATTTGAGGTTGATTATACAACCTAAACATAAAAATTAACATTATGAAGTCTTTATAAGGCAAGTTACCTTTTGAGAGAAAATGTCTTTATTATATGAAGGAAAGCAACAGTTTCTTAGCTAGGACACGGGAAGCAATCAACATTGAAGAAAAAAGTTGAACTGTATGTTACCAAAATGCTCATTAAGAACACTGGCGTGTCATTACTAAGGAAAAAATATTTTCAATAAACATACGTAGCTGATGAAGGACTGTTACCTAGGATATATAAAGGGTTCCAATAACTCAGTAATAAAAAGACAAACAAACAAAAATTTTTAATGATTTCTACAGACACAAAAGAAGATATACAAATGTCCAATATGCATATGAAACACCAGGGAACATTGGTCATCATAGAAATAAAATTTAAAACCATAATAAGAAAATACCCACTCAAATGGCTAAATTTATAAGAACTGGCAATATTAAATGTTGGTGAGGATCATAAGCTTTGATGCATTGTTGTAGGGAGTATAATACGATACTTCCACTTTGAGAAAGGGCTGAACATTTTATGTAAAACAAAAGATAAGTTTAGAACTAAAAGAGTAGAAAATTTTCCATTATCAGCCACAGTGGAGTAAGAAGTGTTAAATTTATCCTTCCCTCTTAAGTAAGAAACCAAAAAAAAATATGACAGAATGATTTACAGATCTTATAAAACAAGCAAACACAAGATAGTGATTCCTGAAGGACAAGATATAAGGTGAGCCCTAAGATTAAAACAGCTACTTCCTGAGTTTCCAGTCCAATTTGCAGTAAAAGAGAACTTAGAGGTTAGCAGCCTACCTCAGTTGAGGCAATGTTGAAAATTTAAAGAAGCCAAGGGAACTAAAATTCACATAGCTGAATAACATAGAGAAGAGAGCTTCATGAAGAGGAGAGAACTACAGAGAGAGAGCCACAGAGGCCTGTAGGGGGTTCCCTTCAAGTATTAAGCTAAGTATTGATTAGTATTTGTATGTGAGGAAACTGAGAGTGGGAAAGGAACAGGTATAATAATTTCTATAGACCACAAACACTGTCAGCAGATACAAGAAGACTTGTATTCCTTGGGGCTTTGGGTCGGGTATTCAGAAATGTATCATCCTAGTAGCAGGACCAAATTCGTTCTGGAATAAAGAGTACTGTGGCCTTGACTCACAAGTTTTAAAAACAAGCCTCAAAAGAGATCAAATTATTTATAATAATTTTACTGTATCTCACAATAAAACTGGAAAAACAGCTTAAGGAATCCAAAAAGAAAAAAACAACCTAACATTCAATAATGCAAAATTCTTAATCTTTAGTATTCAATTCTAAAACTGACCAGACAGGCAAAAAACAGGAAAAATATATCTATAATGAGGAGAAAAATAAACCATTAGAAATGTCTCTTAATAAAGTTAGTAGAGAAAGACATTAAGCCAGCTATTATAAATATACTTTGGATGTCCAAGAATGTAGAAGACAGAAAGAGCATGTTAATAGGAGATATGTTAGATATTAGAAAGACTCAAATTGAATTTCTAGAGGTGGGAAATATGCTGGAACAGGAAAATAGCAGATTAGGCAGACATCACACAAGAAAACCTTAGTGAACTAATTCTGCATTGATATAAACTGTCCAAAAATAAACAAAAAAAACAAAAAGACTGAAAACAGAATGGGTGGAGTCTCAGTGAGCTGTAGGACAATTTCAAGCAGGCTAATATATGTGCAATTTATTGCACACAAGAGAATGAGTTGGGGAGAAAGGAAAAACACATGAAGAAAATATAGCCAACATTTTTCCAAATGTTGGAAAACATGAGCCCAGTGCTATAGACTGAATGTGTTTCTCCCACCCCAAATTTATAAGTTGAAACCTTAATATCCAATGATGGCAGACACCTCATGAGTGGAATTAGTGCCTCATAAAAAAGACCCTGGAAAGCTCCCTCACTCCTATCTGCCATTTAAGGAAAAAGCAAGAAGATGGCTTTGAACCAAAAAGTGGACCCTCACTACTGAATCTGGTAGCGTCTTGACATTGGACTTCCCAGCCTCCACAACTGTGAAAAATACATTTCTGTTGTTTATAAACCACCCAGTCACCCAGGCTGTGGTATTCTATCATAGCAAGCAAAACAGACCAATACACATAGACCTAAGAAGTTCAGTAAATCCCAAGTAAAAGGAACATGAAGAAAACTACCCCAAGTCACCTCATAATCAAATTGCTCAAATGCAGTGATAAAGAGAAAATCTTAAAAGCACACCAAAAAAAAAAATACACAGAATATGCTGAGTAACATACATAAAAATCACAGTTAACTTTTTATCAGAAAACAACAACAACAAAAAAAGACAGTGGAGCAGTATATTTAATGTTCTGAAAGAAAAACCAAAGAAACAACCTAGAGTTCTATATCTAACAAAAATATCTTTCAAAAATAAAGGTGACCTAGACTTTTCCATAGAAATCCTGAAAGAATTTTTCACCTGCATACTTCAGAAAATTTCAAAGGAAGTCATTGAAATAGAAGAAAATGATACAGATGGAAATTTGGGTCCACGCACAAAAAAGAGCACCTCATATGTTGAATATGCAGAAACACAGTGGGAGATTTCAAAGCCTTTCTCTCAATAAGTAATAGAACATGAAGGCAAAAATTATGATTATAAAAAATATTGAACATGACTATCAAACAACTTGACTTAGCTGGCATTTATAAACCACTCTATCTAAGAATAATAGAAAACACATTATTTCCAGGTGGACACTTGACCTATATTCTGGGTCATAAAACAAGTCCCAATATGTTTAAAAGTTTCTATGTCATATCAAATATGTTCTATCATTTAGATGGAATTAAATTCGAAATCAAAAAGAGAAAAATATGTGAAAAATCCCTAAATGTTTGATAGCAAAAAATATGTCTATATAACCTATGGAACAAAGAAGAAAGTTTTCAAAAAGTACTTTGAATGTAATTTAAATGAAAATAAAATGTAAGAACATTTTTGGTGTCCATGCTTGCATAAGAGAAAAATAGAGGTCTCAAGTCATTGACTTAAGCCCTGAATTTAACAGAATAGGTAAAGAAGAGCAAAGTAAACCCAATGTAGAAAGAAAATAACAATAAAAGTAAAGGAAGAAGTAAGTAAAATGCTAAACAGAAAAATACAGAAAATCAGTAAAATCAAAAGAAGTGATCGATAAAAATTTTAAATATGCAACCAGAATAATCAAGAAAACAAAGAAGACAATTTAAAAATATCAGAAATGAGAGAGTAGGCATCACTAGACTTTCTATAGACATTAAAAGGATAATAAAGGATACTAAGGATACTATGGACACATTTATGGGAATAAATTTCACAAGTTAGATGGAATGAACAAATATCTTAAAATATATATAATTCCAAAACTCACAAAGAAAGATAATCTGAAAAGCCCTATATCTATGAAGAAATTGATTTTGTATTTAAAAGCATTCCTAGAAAGAATTCCTCAGATGGCTTTGTTGATGAATTCTACCAAACATTTAAGGAAAAAATACTATCAATTTTATACAATTGATATTGGAGAATATAGAAGAAACATCCATACCGTTTTATGAAGTTATCATTACCCAAACACCAAAACTAGACAAAAAGAGTATAATAAAAGCAAACTAGAGGCCAATATCTCTGCTAAACATAGAGGCAACTATTCTCAAGAAAGATTTGGAAATTAAATCTAACAATACATTTATATAGAAAGTAAGGTATTATAATCAAGTAGAATTCCTTCCAGGAGTTCAATGTTTGTTTAACACTTGAAAATCAATTAATGTAATTAATAATACTAACCAACTGAAAAACTAAAACCGTGTGATCTTAATTGACACAACATATTTGACAAAATCAATATGTATTCATGATTAAAACTCTTAGTAGAGGAGAAATAAAATGGAACTTCTTCTATTTAATGGAAAGAATCTATTAAAAACTTACAGCATCATACTTAATGATAAAATACTTCATAGTTTCTTTGTAAGACTGGAAATGAGATAATAATTTCTACTCTTACCATTTCAATTCAACAGTCTCAGAAGTCCTAACCATGCAAATAAAAGGCATACAGATTAGAAAAGGAGAAGTAAAATGGTCTTTATTTGCAGATGAGATAATTTTCTATGTAGAAAATACTATGTAATCTATGGAAAAAGTACTAGAAATAATGAGTGACTTTAGGAAGATTGCAGGATTTGAAGTCAGCGTACAAATATAAATTCTATTTCTATATTCTGGAAATGAACAGAAAGTAAAATTGAAAATAACAATTTTATTTGTAATATATTTATACTTTAATCACATTATTTCTCTAGTTTAATTTATAGATAGATGACAGATGATAGATAGATACATAGATAGATAGATTTAATATTATCTTCATCAAAATCCTGGAAGCCTTTTCTGTTGAAAATGACAAGGTGATCCTTACATTTATTTAAGCAATGCAAATAATGTAGAATTACCAAACTATTTTTGACAAAGAATAACAAATACAGAGAACCTAGAGTATCTGATTTTAAGATTTATTTCAAGACTACAATAATCAAGACAGTATGGCATAAAGATGGAAATATAAGCCAAAAAAACAGGTTAGACAGTGCATAAATAGACCTACAATGTGTGCAATTGATTTCTGGCCAAGGAACTGAGGAAACTAAATGAGGAGAGAATAATATTTATATCAAACTGTACTGGAACTACTGGATAGTCCTATGCAAAAGAACTGAGACTTTATCTCATACAATATTAAAAAACTCAAATTGAATCATAGAGCTACATGGGAAAGTTAAAACTATATAAGTTCAAGAAGAAACCAAGAGGTCATTTTAGTAATCTTGGCTCTGACAAAGATTTCTTAAAGTGGGACCCGGCACGCTTAAAATATATAAAAAATAATTTGGACTTCATTAAATTTTAAACATTTGTCCTTCAATATACATATTTAAGAAAACCAAAAGGAAAGCTATGAATTGGAAGAAAACATTTACAAAACACATGCATGAAAAGACAAAGTTCTTGTATCATATATATAACATATATAATACTGACAAAAATAAGAAAAATAAATCAGTAAAAATGGAAAAATATTTAACAGAAATATCACATGCAAAAAATATACAGATGCAAAAATATCACATGCAGAAAATGTATAGTTGGAAAGTAAGCACCTGAAAAGTTGCTTAATATCATTAGTCATGAGGAAGGTGCAAATTAAAACCAAAATAAAATACCACTATACATTTGCTGAAACAGCAGAAGTTTAAAAGACAGTCTATATCAGATATTGGCACGCATGTGTTACAACTGAAGCTCTCTTTCATTGCTTCTGAAAATGGAAAATAGTACAACCATTTGAAAAATATTTTGGCAGTTGCTTGGCAAACTAAACATGTACTTATCATGTGAACAGCCATTCTATCTACTCTTAAGAATATAGCCGAGAGAAATAAAAGCACGTGCTCACACCAGGACTTTTACACAATTACAATATCAGCTTTATTTGTAATAGCCCAGACAACTTAAACCAACCCAAATATCTATCAAAATGCGAATGAATACATTACGGCACATCCGTGCAGTAGAATACTCCTCTGCAAAACAGAAACAAAGCAAAACAAAAAGAAATTGTAGATATTGATTCAACTGATGGCTGTTCATGATTGATAGTGATGATGAGCAATACTAATATTAAGATAAATATTTAATTATGCTAAGTAAAATAGGAAAGACCAACAAAAACCACTTGTGATTTCATTTATATAAAATTCTAGAAATTGCAAAGTAATCCACAATAAGAGAAAGTAGATTGTCTGAGAATAGGGGAGAGGAGAAAAAAAAATGGCTCATGAAAGGGCCATGAGAAAAGTTCTTGGGGCTGGGTGCAGTGGCTCATGCCTGTAGTTGCGGTGCTTTGGGAGGCTGAGGCAGGAGAATTGTTTGAGGCCAGGAGTTTGAGACTAGTCTGGGCAACACAGTGAGACCACATCTCTGCAAATAAAAAATTTAAAAAATTAGCCAAGTGTGGTGGTGCATATCTGTAATCCCAGCTACTTGGGAGGCTTAGGTGGGAGGATCACTTGATCCCAGGACTTTGAGACTGCAGTGAGCTATAATCTTACCACTGCACTGCAGCCTGGGTGACAGAGTGAAACCCTGTCTCTGAAAAATCAAAAAGAAATAAAATAAAAATTATAAGTTCTTGGTATGATGCATATGTTCTTTATCTTGATCCTAGTGACAGGCTTATTTGTATACACGTGTGTCAAAACTCATCCAATGTTACACTAAATATGTGTAGTTTGTCGTATAAATAGCCAAAAGCTGGAAACAGCACATACATCCAGGAAGAGGATAGTACACAAACTGGAGAGTATACATAAAATGGAATATTACTTATCAATGAAAATGAGCAAATTGTTGATACATGAAACAATGTGGATGGATCTCAAAACATTATGCTGAAAGAAGCTTTTCACAAGAGTATTTACCGTATCATTATACTGTATGATTCTGATACAGGAGGGGGACGGGGAAGAGCTGGGTAGAGAAGGGCAGGGTCACTGGCTAGGGCTCCACACTCAGGTCTGTGCCTATGGACATAAGTGAGGACAGGCATTTGTTTTCACTCCCAAATGTTGCATTTTCCAAGACAGCCCTGGCCTGCCACATCCTGTGCTTATAAAAACCCTAAGACCCCAATGGGCACACACACAAATGGCTAGACTTTGAGAGGAATACACTGGCAGAAGAACACACAGACGCTGACAGGCCATTAATGACAGAACGACGCAGACGCCAAGGGAAATTCGGCTGAAGGTGAGCAGAGGAGAGCCCAGCCTCTAAGCAGCCCAACTCCAAGGGAAGACCACCTTCCCACTCCATGTCCCTAATGGCTCCCCATCCATCTGCTGATAGCTACCTCCACCATTCAACAAAACCTTGCACTCATTCTCTAAGCCCATGATTCGATTTTTCTGGAACACTAGAGCAAGAACCTCAGTATACCGAAAGCCCTCTGTCATTGTGACAAGGCAGAAGCTCTAACTGAGCCAATTAACACAAGCTGCCTGCAGATGGCTAAGCTGAAAGAACACCCTGTTACATACGCCCAGTGGGGCTTCAGGAGCTATAAACACTCAAACCTAGATGCTGCCATGGGGTCAGAGCCCATGTACCCCACAACCTGCCCATCTGCATGCTCCCCCTAGGGGTTTGAGCTGTGGAGCACCAAAGAAGCGAGCCACTCCCTCATTGCACGCCCTGTGAGGGGGATAAGGGAACTTTTCCCATTTCAATTCCATTTATTAGAACAGGCAAGACTACTCCACGTTTAAAAAAAAGAAAAATCACAACAGTGGTTGCCCTTTGGTTGTAGGACCAGGGATTTAGTGGAAGTGAGGCAGGGCAGGTGAATCCCAAAATTAGGGCATAGCCTGGGAGGGTTCTTGGCCTCACCCAGGAAAGAATTCAAGGGTGAGCTGGAGGTATTAGACAGCAACTTTTATCGAAGTGGCATTGCACAGCAGCAGCAGAGGTACTTCTCCTTGCAGAGCAGGGCTGCCCCATAAGCAGTGTACCCAAAGTAGCAGCTCAGAGGCAGTTCTGCAGTCAAATTTATACCCACTTTTAATTACATGAAAATTATCAGGTGTATTATGCAGAAATTTCCAGAAAAGCACGGTAACTTCTAGATTGTCAGGTCATTGCCATGGAAAGGGGTGGTAACTTCTGGATGTTGCCATGGCAATGGTAAACTGACATGGCACATTGGTGAGTGTGTCTTATGAAAATCTACTTTCACCTTGAACCTGTTTTAGCTAGTTCTCAATTTGGTCCAGTGACTGAACCCGACCTCCTATCTCAGAAGATGGCAAGAGAAAAAACTGGGGGATGACTGATGATCCTGTATCTTAATAGGAGTTTGGGTTGTATAGTTGTATGCATTTGTTGAGACTCTTCAAATAGTACACTCATGAATTGTGCATCTCATGGTAAATTTTATTTCAAAAGAATAAAAAATAACCAAGTCAGATATTGATCTAGTTAATGAGGTCTGCAGCTTATTTCAAAATCTATTTTTTTTAAAAAAAGATGATTGCTGAATGAATAGGAGACAGATAGATAAGTGATAAAGCAAATATAGTAAAATATTAATTGTAAAAACTAGGTATTAGATATATGAGTATATCCCACTTAGGCTGTTTTTTTTTGTTGTTGTTGTTGTTTTTGCCCATAATCATCTTCTATAACTTTGTATATGGTCCTATCAAGAGGTAAAGTCTGTTTTCCATTCTTTGAATCTGTCCTGGCTTTGTGACTTGCCTTGGTCAAAAAAATGTGACAGAATCATTTTCCAGCTCTAAGACTAGATCTCAAAAGGCAGTTTGCCTTTCATCTGCCTCCTTTTCATGGACAGTGCCAGGCTAGCTGGCTTGAGAATGACTGTCCACATGGAGAGTCCACATGTTGCCGCCACGGCCACCTAAGAGCCCATCAACCCCAAATATGGAAGAAAGCATGACCAGGTTCAGCAGAGATGCCGGTTTGACCCTCAGATGACCATAGATGCATGAAAGAGCCCAGCCAAGAATGGGAGAACAACCTAGCTGAGAGTTTATGAGACAGCAATAACTATCAATCCTTTTTTTTTTTTTTTTTTTTTGGAGTCTTACTCATTCGCCCAGGCTGGAGTGCAGTGGTGCAATTTCGGCTTACTGCAAGCTCCGCCTCCTGGGTTCACACCATTCTCCTGCCTCAGCCTCCCCAGTAGCTGGGACTACAGGCGCCCGCCACCATATTCAGCTAATTTTTTTTGTATTTTTAGTAGAGACGGAGTTTCACCTTGTTAGCCAGGATGGTCTCAATCTCCTGACCTTGTGACCCACCTGCCTCGGCCTCCCAAAGTGTTGGGATTACAGGCATGAGCCACCGTGTCTGGCCTTTTTTTTTTTTTTTTTTTTGACACAGTCTTGCTCTGTCACCAGGCTGGAGTGCGGTGGCATGATCTTGGCTCACTGCAACTTCCGCCTCCCGGGTTTAAGCCATTCTCCTGCCTCAGCCTCCTGAGTAGCTGGGACTACAGGTGCCCACCACCACTCCCAGCTAATTTTTGTATTTTTAGTAGAGACGGGGTTTCATCATGTTGGCCAGGATGGTCTTGATCTCTTGACCTCATGATCCACCCTCCTTGGCCTCCCAAAGTGCTGGGATTACAGGCGTGAGCCACCACACCCGATCTAGCTATCAATCTTTGGAACATTACATAATCTCTCTCAACTTCAACTTTTTCATAGTATCTATATCATAGGGTTGTGATTAGATAACTCACCCAAATGGCTTAGAACAGTGGAAAATGCATAAATCCTTCAAATCATTGCCTATTAATGCTATCTCTACTACCTCACAGAGTTTCCTTAAAGAACAACTCAAAACTCTGATTGCCAAATTCTTCAGAAATATCAGTGGAAAGCATAGAAATGACTTATTAATGTTTGCCAAGCCACTGCTCTTTTGCCTTGATGCCAGTCCAAATTGAGGCTTGTAATATATCTAAACTGAACCTGGAAAAGAGAAGAAATAGTAGATCAAATTTGAATTTGGCTATTTGCCTCTATTTCAGAAAGCTAAGAGCTCTCTCAAAGGGCAGCACAGGGAAGCAGGTGACTTTCTGTTATTCCATATCATATTGCTTTGCGTCATTTCTGACACTAAAGTCACACTTCATTTAAAAGGCAAGTGGCCTGAGCTGAAACCTTGCCCAACATTTTCCCCACCATATACAAACATCCATTTTCAAAGAACGTGGTCCCTTAAGTCTGTTTTTCGAGAGAATTGATCAGGTGACTTGGCACAGGGTATGCAACCCCTTAAAATTATAAACATTGTCGGTGCTTCACACAAAGGTGGCTGCCAAAAGTTCTGGGGATTATGCAAACCCTTTGCCATTCAAATGAACAGGCATCCTGAAACAGAAAACATTTAACCAAAAAATTGCCTAAAAATAAGTATCTCTGTACCTGGCAATGAAGAATGAGTTACTTCTCCATAGGAGGCCAGTGGCAGCATTATACAGTGTCTGGGTCAAGCCCATCTCTAGGCAAGAGACCGTGGCTGGGCTGGGCTGGGCTGACATTTCAATACTAATGAGGTGGAGCACTGTTCACGGTTACCTCTTTTCTTTTACAAAGTGTCACTGAAACATACTTAGTAAAAACACTGCTTTGAAAACACTTGGCAGACATTTTCCCTATATTTTCACCATGGGAGATTATGATAAAGCCCCCAAATGCATCTCTTTCTAGAGTCAGCCCTGGTTCAGTAGAGGTAGTAGCAGCCGGTATTTAACCCTGCGTGGTATAAAAACACCAGCAGCCCGGCCTGTGTTCCTTAGGGTGTCCCTGGTATTAAATCATCCATCCTTCCATGTAGGCCTCTTCTTGGGGTGGAGGATGGGATATTCACTAGGACACCAGTCTCATGGAAGAGTGGCTGGTGGTGGGGTGGTGCTGCATACTCTGGATAGGACATTTCTGTCCCCAAAATTGATGTCTCATGCACTTCTAGCAAGCATCCTTTAAAATAAAGGTGAAAACACAGCAAGCTTGTCTATTTACCAGTTCAGGAAAGGTGGGAAGTCTCTCTTGTTCTTGGCTTAGCAGAAAATTTATGAAATTAGGAGTTGAAGGTTTGGTACGCAGAGGCTTCAGAATGTTTAGTGCAAACCTTATAGCTATGGAAGACACTTTGCCCCACAGTTCAGCAGTCCAGGGGATGTTGTTAGTGTTACATGAAGAAAGGTCTCACACTGTCATCTATGTCTGGCAAATGCTGAGATAAACTTGGTTATTTCCTACAGGAGTTCTTAGGGCCTGGAAGGTGCAGCTGAAAGCAGGAGGTAGAATACACAGGCTGCCCAAACTCATTTAATAATGGCATTTTTTTTTCTATTCCCACAGAGCATGAAATAGTTGTCAGAAAATATTGTGGGAAATGTAGCCTTAAGGTAACCATGGGAAAGTGTATGTGACATGGTTAATATAGCCCTAGAAATAGAAATAGGCTTGAGCTTACTGGGGCAATGGAAATCACAGGTTTTCTAGCATAGCCCTAATTCTCAAGTTGGAAGCTGCCATCTATATAATCACAGAAAGTGGAGAAAAACAGTGTCAAGATGACTGTCCTTGAGTGGGAGTGAGGTCAAGCCTCACATGGATGTCCAGGAATACCATTAGGCAAATGGTTAGAGTGAGCCTGCAGCAGCACTAAGTACACTCAAGAAAGAAGAAAGAAGGCCCGATTCTGGCTCAGCGCTTACGCCAGCCCTCCTTGCAATTGCCCACAGAGCCCCAAGCCCATGGGAACATTCTATCTACCCATGGGCAGAATATGCAATACTCCTAACCATTGCATACAATGGAATACGGAGAATTGATTATTTACTAAAGTTATCAAGGATCCTGAGAAAATTAAACCCTTTCCTTAGCTGCCTGTGTGGTGAGAACTCTGGACTTTGCATTAAAAGACCAGTGACCCAGTCTCAATAAGCAACTCAGATCCCACATCTTCATTCCCTGATCTTCAAAATGAGAAAGTCATCTAAGATACTGTCTAAGATGCCTATAAGGTGAAAAATCAAAAAGTCTGCCTCTGTATCAGAGCCCTTTTGCTCGCCTTCTCTAATTCAACACCCCAGTGACACCTGTTGACTGATAGTTATCCCTTAGTCTCTTAGGAAGGGAGTAAAAGGAGAAGGAGGAATGAGCTCTTACAAGCCATTTCTAACCTTCTTTATGCAGTTTACTCTTCAGGGAAAGAGCTATTCAGTAATGGTAATACTTTCCCAGAGATGGGCAAAATGGTTTAGGTGTTGTGGCACTAACACGGTTGCTATTTCTGTCTATAGCCATTGCCCTTTTGGGGTGCTTGAATAACAAATAGTAACTCTTTCATTCCTTTATTAAATGGATAAGATAAATATATAGGAAGCAGTCCATTCCTTTAGGTGTATCATTTTTTGTTAAATTTTGTTTGTCCTTAATTTAGGCTTGTGGCAGATTTTGATGTAGACTGAAGTTTTGCATTTGATATAAAGCTCCTGTTTCTTATTTCTATATACTGTAAAGAAATAGGTAATTATTACCCTCTTGATATTACCAAAAATAGTGGACTGAGCAGTCTAAAATTAGGTTTAAATATGACAAATGGCATGTAGCCATACAGCTTCTTGATAATCACTGCAGTGCACAATGAAATTTACCCAGTGTACTGAATAATAATGAATGCTGCTAATAATACAAATTGGTGTTTTAGGATTATCTTTTATCATAATACCAAACTTACTGTGAAATCTAAATAGCTATATATATTTCCAAAGGGTATTAGTACAATAGTACTAAATCAATTCATGCAATTCTTTGCATTGTGTTGCTGTCAATGTTCTCATAGTGTTTGTTTATGTTGTTAGTTAATATGATCATTATATACTCCACAAATGGTATGTCTTACATGATGTTTGCACCACTTTCCATATTCAAGCTGGAAGATTCTGATATTCTGCTTCTTAAAGTGTTGTTTTCAATTATTGGCAAAAGGGGATTGTATTTAAGAACTTGAAGTAAATGTTCAGATGTGCTCTTTTAAAGTAATCAAAGGAAAATTATATTGCCCCAGTAGTCTCTGCAAAGATGTTTTGTAATGATGCAGCCATTCTTGAATGGCTTACCTCAAAAAGCAAAACTGAATTTGATTCATTCTTCAGGGAACACTATACTGCAACTTGTTGATGAATAAAGCTCTCAGGTCATTTTATTCTGTTCCTAATGACTAAGTAGCAGGAATGGCTTTGCCACTGGGGGGACAAAGTAGGTGTTTACTTCTATGAGGGGATTGAGAAACTACAAGATTCTTGATAAGCCTAAATAGCCAATAATTCTAAAATGACATATGTTGTATGCCACAGGATATGATTTTACATTAAAGCTTCATTTTGTGGGATGGAACCACTAAGGCATTAATAGGGAGATATTTATATCAGAGCAGCCTGACTTATACTGACTTATACTTATATCAGTGTCAGTCCCTGACACTGAATGAGGTTAACTTTTCTGACCCAAGAGGAGCTTATGCTGGAGAAAGCTCAGAAAAAGCATGTATTAATGGGTATCTATTACACAAGATAAAGACTGAGAGTGCTGAAATCCAAAGGGAACATACTTTCTGACCTTTTCCAATCTTATTTAGTGCCATTTCTAATCTAGGGACTGCTTTACTGTGGCTGAAAGAGAAAACACAGTCAAGGGCTCTAGTGACCACCAGGAGCTGCAGTTTTTCATGCCTTGATATACTTTAATGTTCTTCTTAAGCATGTGGGCATGGTTTTAATGTAAGCTGCTCCAAAAACACCTTAAAATATTGCTTCAAAGGGCCAGGTACGGTGGCTTACGCTTGTAATCCCAGCACTTTGGGAGGCCAAGGCGGGTGGATCATGAGGTCAGGAGATCGAGACCATCCTGGCCAACATGGTGAAACCCCATCTCTACTAAAAATACAAAAACATTAGCTGGGCATGTGGTGTGCTCCTGTAGTCCCAGCTACTTGGGAGGCTGAGGCAGGAGAATCTCTTGAATCCGGGAGGTGGAGTTTACAGTGAGCCGAGATCAAGCCACTGCACTCCAGCCTGGAGACAGAGTGAGACTCCGTCTCAAAAAACAAAACAAAAACAAACAAACAAACACAAAACTGCTTCAAAGAAATGATACAGAGCTGAAGTGGAAGGCAATCCATCCACTCATAACTTACCACTCCACACATTAACACACACACACTCACATATTTATTCACTATCACCACTATAATCAGCTTAGCAGTTGGCAAACTTCCTGTAATAAATGCTGATATTCATCTATACTCACACGACTAGGCTTGTCAAGCATAAGCTTCTGGCTCGCCACTGCAGTCTTGGGCCCAAAGTCTCTAAGTTAGCTTTATAACCTAGGTATTGGTATCTGTGACAGGGAGGCAGCAACTCAGGATAACGGTGCATATTTCATTGTGAGGCCAAGGGATGAGGCAGGGCAGATGTAAGAACAGCAAATAACTGGCCTGTAAGGTGCTAAATACAGCATAAAAAGCCTGTTTCTTGGTAAATGGTTAATTGACAAAAGTCAGTTGCTTTCTTATATATCAGCAATGAAAATCTGGAATTTGAAATTAAATACACAATATCATTTATATTAGAATCAAAAAATGAAATGCTTAGGTATAAAGCTAACAAAATAAGTACAAAGTCTTTATGAGGAAAACTATAAAATTCTGATAAAAAAATTAAAGAAGATCTAAATAAATATAGAAATATTCTACATATATGGAAAGGGTAATTCAATACTGTTAAGATCTCATTTTTTCCCAACTTGCTCTATAGATTCAATGCAATCCCAATCAAAATCTCAGCAAGTTACTTTGTGGATATCAACAAACTGATTCTAAAGTTTATATGGAGAGGCGAAAGACCCAGAAAAGCCAATACAAGATGGAAAAAAGATCAAAGTCAGAGTACTGAAATTCACCAAAATAAAAACTTCCTATAAAGCTATAGTAATCAAAACAATGTGGTATTTGTGAAACAACAGACAGATAGATCAATACAACAGACAGATAGATCAATATAACAGACAGATAGATCAACACAACAGAACAGAGAGCCCACATATAGTCCACCAAATATAACCAACAGATCTTGGATGAAAGAGGAAAGGCAATTCAATGTCTTTCTAACAGAGGGTGCTGAAACAACTGGATATCCACAAGCAAAAATATAAATCTAAACACAGACCTTTCACAAACATCAACTCAAAGTAGGTAATAGACACCAATGTAAAATATAAAACTATGAAACTGCTAGAAGATAATAGAAAATATAGATGACCTTGAGTTTGAAAATGACTTTTAAGATACCACACTGAGAAAGCAGGATCTATGAAATAGAAAATGGATAAATTGGACCTCATTAAATTTTTTTTTTAAAAATCCTTCTCTGCAAAATGCACTTAAGAGAATAAAAAGACAATTCACAGAACAGGAGAAAATATTTGCAAAAGACTTCTCTGATAAAAACAAACCCAAATTCAGAATATACAAAGAACTCTTAAAGCTCAACAGTACAAAAGCAAACAACCCAATTAAAAATTGGCAAAAAAAAAAAATCTGAAAAGACACTTCATCAAATAAAGTATACAGGTGGCAAAAAGCATATGAAAAGATGCTCAACAACATATGCTATTAGAGAATTGCAAGTTAAAACAACAATGAGATACTACACCATACCTATTTAAGTGTCTGAAATGCAAAGTGGTTCAGCCACATTGTGAGAAGCTTGGCAGTTTCTTACAAAACTAAACATATTCTTACCGTACAAGCCAGCAATCACACACTTTGGCATTTACCCAAATGAGTTGAAAATGTATATCCACACAAAACCTCTACACGAATGTTTATAGCATCTTTAGTCACAAATGCCAAAACTTGGAAGTAACCAAGTTGTGCTTCAGTAGGAAAATAGATAAACTGTGGTACATCTATACAGTGGAATATTAAAAGAAATGAGACTTATAACGCTATGAAATGACATGGAGGAAACATAAACACATATTAATAAGTGAAATAAGCCAATCTGAAAAGGTTACATACTGTAATATGCCAACTATGTGACATTTTGAAAAAGGAAAAACTAGGATATAGTAAAAATATCAGTGATTACCAGGGATTAAAGTGGGGGGGAATGAGTCAGCAGAGCAGAGAGAAATTTTTGGGCTATGAAACGACTTTGTATGAAATTGTAATGGTGGATACACAGCATCAAACTTTGTTAAAACCCCATAGAATGTACTTCCTTAAGAGTGAAACCCAATGTAAATTACAGACTTTTAGTAGATAATTATGCATAAATATTGGCTCAAAAATTGTAATAAATGCACTGCACTTGCATTAGCAAGATATTAATATGGGAAATTGGGGGTGGTGAGTTCCTACACACTTCACAATTTGTAAATAGCACTTAACTAGACCCACATCACTCCCCCTCAGAGAGAGGAGGGAGTTATTTCTTGCCTGTGATTCCTGCCTCTGGCTCCCAGAGTTCTTACTAAAATCTCCTAATCTCTGAATGTTACGTAGGAAACACCAACACTTTTGCTAACAGAGATCTCTCTTTCTAGGTCTTTCACACAGCTCTGCTTGCAAGGCAGTAAGAGGAGTTAAAATGCTGAAAGAATGGCAGATTCTCTTATGCTATGTTAGACATTTATTCCATTAGTTTATTTTTGTTTTTAGAGAAACTCACTGAAGCCTGGGATTAAGAGGGCTTTGATTTCTTTACACAAAGCAATGTCTTGCCAAGGAAAATGAGAACCTCTAAAAGCCTTTGTCTTTTCTGCACGGAACAGCCATTGTCACTAAGTCAATGACATCTCTGCAGAAGACAAAGAAGTAAGAAATGCTTAGATTTACCCTAGCTTATTAAACCAGGTTTGTCTTCCTCCCAATTCCTAGAGGTTCCCAAAGTCTTAGAGTATGTCAAAGTGCACGAGGACTACTGACAATATCCAATTTTTGAGAGATGTTTAATGAAAAATTAAACTAGATATAGAAGAATAGGAAGGAAAAGTATAGATGTTTTACTAAAAACATCTCTAAAATAGCAGGCATCCTCTGCCAGGCTTCCAGGACAATGTCTGTTGCTCTTGCTCAGGGTAGGAGAATGTGATCTCAGAGCAGTAAACCCGAGACAGCCCCCTGGCAATCTGCAGATCTGGTGGTTTTGTTTTTTCCTCTCCTTTCATTTCATTTCTCTTCAGTTTCATTTGTAAACTGGCTGGGTTATGTCCCGACAGGTTGAGATGTTTAGATGTTTCTTTGAGAGTACTTCATGGTACCAAGAACGTGGTCTCTCTTCTCCATTCTTCATAGCCTTCTAGTTAAGGATGCCTCATCTAATCTGAAAGCATTTACTGTGCTCAGAATCCTATCACACTGCAGCAGGTCCTTAATCTGTCACTGACACTGAAGATTAATAATATTACAAATGCCTGTGATAAAGCCTATCTCTCATTCGTTTTTTCTGAGTTTCCTTGTCATGCAAAGATCATGTGAAGAGTTCCCCCCTTTCCTGGACCAAACTGAGGGTCAAGCTGCTATTTCTTGTGGCCCAATAATGAGATACAGATGAACTGGGGAGGAAGAGAGTTTATTTCTACAACCAGTTACAGGGAGAAGACCTGGAAATTATCACCAGATCAACTCAAAATTACAAAGTTTTCCAGACCTTATATGTCTTCTAAGCTATATGTCTATATGTAAGTGTGCATTCATCTATAAAGACATAAGTGATTAATGTCTTTTAATCTATAACTAAGGTCTGAGCCCTGAAGACCTTCTTCTGGAGTCTCAGTAAATTTACTTAATCTAAGTGGGTCCAGGTGCGAGCGTGATTACCCTTATCTTTTCTCCTGCTAAATCATGGAGGTTTGGGGAGTTCCTTTAGACCCCTAATAAACTTGTTTGTGGAGGCCTGGGGAGTTTCTTCAGACCCCCAAAACTTTTTTTTTTCTTTTTTGAGACAGAGTCTCTGTCGCCCAGGTTGGAGTGCAGTGTTGCAATCTCGGCTCACTGAAACATCTGCCTCCCAGGTTCAAGTGATTCTCCTGCCTCAGCCTCCTGAGTAGCTGGGACTACAGGCATGTGCCACCATGCCTGGCTAATTTTTTGTATTTTTAATAGAGACAAGATTTCACCGTGTTAGCCAGGATGGTCTCGATCTCCTGACCTCGTGATCTACCCGCCTTGGCCTCCCAAAGTGCTGGATTACAGGCTTGAGCCACCATGCCCAGCCAAAACTTGTTTAATCCTAAATGGGTCCTGTTAAGTATTCCTTTGTTATTTGTCATGCTTTAAGGCCCAGGAAAGGCCTTCGCAAAACTCTTGGTGGGCTTTTGTTACATTATAGCCTTTGTATAAAGTCACTGGCTCTTTTAGCTTTTAATATTTAACTTAATCACCCAGTCAGTACTGAAACAGTTGTTATGAAGCCCTGCATTAGTGAGACCTGACCTGCCACACCCCTACACAGGATCCTAAGACAGACTGTTAAAGGCAGGTCCCCAGAGTGGCACTGTAGGTAAACACAGAGACAGTTGCAGCATAGAGACAACTGGGACCCCTCTGCAAACTGCTCAGCACCTTTTCTATCTCTCTGTGAAACTCTTCTGTCGCTTGAAATGCAATTTATAGACTTAGAGGAATTCTGTGTTTCATCACATAACAAAATGCAGAAGGTAGAACTCATCATTTTTGTCTTTGGCTACCCTGAAAGCAGATGTTTTGTTGTTAAGAGAATAATAACAAAGTTTTTTTTATCGTAATGATAGAAGGAAACAAGAATAAAGACCCTTGTATATGGAGTATAAAAGAAGAAATGAATAATGCAGCTGACTGAAGAGGGGGACTCAGTAACTGAAGAGCTGGGAAAGCGGATTGAAAGGATTGAAGACTTAGGTGTTTGCCTCAAGACCCTGGGAGTTCTTTATCCAGTTCTCTTATTTTTGTTTTGTTTTGTTTCTCATTTGATGGGAAGAAAAGATTTGAGAGAAGGGTAACTCCAGGAAGCTGTTTTAACAACCTCAGAACTAGAATACTTTGCCACAGAGTTATAAGATACTTCTTTTTTGCTTTTACTTTTGTTTTTGTTTTTTGACATTTGTTTCTGTTTCAAAAATGTTCAATTAAAATATGTGGCAAAGACATTCTGTTCACACACCCCATCCATTGCAATGACAGTTCCCAGCTTCAAACCTGCAAACCGACTTTTTTTTGGAAACCAGTTTGTCTCCTAATAGCATTTGGTTGCTTTTATCTCCTTACTTTTGATTTAAAAAAATGTTTTTCTCCTTCTATGTGAAATTTCATTTCAAAAAGAAGACTGATGGCAGGCATTGAATCTGGAAGCTCTTCCACCCAGAGTGACAAAAATAAAGAGTGATGCTGAAAGCTGCACTGCATGAAATCCTCTCTCTGCCGTCCTTTCTCCAAATCCCTTGCTGGCTCTAAAGAGATCTCCTGAGAACAGAAATTGTACATTGACATTGACTGGTTTTTATTCAACGATTAAGCCACACCTCATCTCCTGTATTTTCCAAATAGACAGCAGGGCTGTTTTCTTAAAAGTGAAAGAAAACGTTGACAAGGATCTCACTATATTAGATCATTTCCAAGGTCACTCATGACCCTATTATCTCCTGCTCTCCAGTAGCCTAAACACGGGATCAGAGGGTAGTAGAATATCCTTAACATTGGCTTCTATAGGTGTGTTGCTGCTAACTTGGAGAGGGCAGAGACAGGCTATTACAGACTTCTTTCATGATGCAAATGTGGGAGCTAGTCCTTTGTTACCAGCTGGTAAGGGAAGTTGGCAGATACATGAAAATGGAAGGACTAGCACATAGCAAACAAATGGCCATTTAAAATGTTGTTATTCATTTAGAAAGTCTACAAGTCAGACTACTAATGCTAAATTGGAGTGAAATCAGACCCCATACATAGTAATGAGCTTTGAAGTTTAGCTTAGAGTTAAGAGAGATCCATCATTTTATGTTAATGCAGACAGGCCAGACAAGGAGAATGACAATGGGAAGACATACAAACTAGGTGAGCACCAAGAAAAGCTTTTACAAGCCATTCACAAGGAGTGCAAACAATAGTGAATGCACCGATTCCTTCTAAAATGCTCCCATTCAATGTTTTTCAGTGTCTATGGAAGGAATAAAACACATTGCCCACAGTTCTCTTTGTTCTAATCACTTCCACAGAGGTTGAAGATTTATTGGCTAATGGGAAACCAGGAGGGGCATAAAGGCTTTTCTTGATTAACATGGGTAATGATGTCATAAATAGAGAGCATAAAATATTCATTTATATTTGATAATCCTCTGAAAATCTATTGTCGTAGGATCACGTAGGCCAATCTGCGGCATCTTTAATCACATTTTAATGGCATCACATGGGCAGTGTGTAATAGCACTTCATCTCACCTCAAGAATGCAGAATAACCGAGTTTTCCGTAGTAATCAGGCATTGTGCATTAAATTCTTAATTCAAAATAACAAAGGCTAACATTTATTGAACACTTACTAAGTGTCAGCTACTAGATACCTTACATATATAGTTAATATTCACAATATTGTTATAAAGAGATACTATCTCATTTTAGAAAATAGGAAACTGAGGCATGGGAGGATAAATAATTCACACAGCTAGAAAGTGGTAAAGCAGAATTTCAAACCCAAGCAATATGACTAAAGAACTCATGTTCTTAATTACTACATTAAATCTTTGTCATTTATTACAACTTTATAAACTTCCACAAATCTGAAATTTCAAAAATTTGAAATGATTTGATTTTAATTTTCCAATATTGTATTATCATTTAATACATCTCCAAATTATCCATGTTGCTTAATTTGGCTGCATTGGGTCAGACATTTATGGAAATAGAATTGCACTCATCAGATTTGTCTGTAGTATCTGGGCTTCTTAGAAGAAACCAATGAACGCCCGCATCGACATCATCATCCCCAGAACTATTCACCCAGCCGAAAACTGTGCTAAGCACTAGATCTCATGGGGTCTCATGGACTGCTTGCTTCCGGAGTTTATCCACTTTTAATGCACTTCAGATTTGAAACATAAAAAGTATAGTATCCTATAAATGAAAGAAAGTTGTTAGAGAATAGGCGAATTTTCCCAGGTACAGTCATCTTAGTTGTTCAGCAGGAACTCCTTCAAAAATTAAGTACGTGGCCTGGGCCTTTTAAAGATGGTGTGAACCATTCTTCCCTATCATTTCCCAGCCCTAATACCTGTAATGAGTTTTTCACAGGAACTGCATGCCTAATTGACTATCAGCAACATCGAACATTTGTCCTTTCTTAACAGAGGAATTTATGTTACTCTGGCTGTGTGCTTGAATGGATGGCTTAATTCATCTTGACCTTGTTGTGCTATTGATGCAACAGAAATACTGAGCCTAGGTGATTCTCCGCATAACTAAGCACAGATGAAGCACCTGAGGAGGGGTGGGGGGTTGTCATCAAGATTTAAAGTAACTTAAGCTTTGATGTGATTTGTATAGCTGCAAAGAAGCAAAGTAGAGATGTCGATGTCAGGGAACAATTTTTTGGAAAGCCCTCCAGTGAAAAGTGGATAGCAGTGACTTTAAGCAGCCATGGAAAATAGTTGATCTTTTCAATGACTGTTGGTAGCAATTCTGCTACTCTATTTTTCTATTCCATGTAAACCAAGAAAAACAGTTTTGGCATTAGAAACATACTGATACTCATCGACAAGTTGAACTTGTCTTAGTGATTTTATTTTTGTCTTTTTCTTGCTCTTTGTGGGCCAAAAAACAATCAGAAGACAATTTTTAAAAGAATATTAATACTACCTATTTACCCAGTGATTACTATACCAAGCAGTGTGCTAGACATCACACACTGAAGAGAGGGAGGGAGAGGTTATTGTCTCAAATAACTAACTTGTTAAATTGTCTTATTTAATCTTCTCAGGAACATTAAGAGTATGTATCCTCATTATTCACAAGCATAGGTGAGGAAACTGGGGCTCCCAGTGGACGAATTATTTGCCCAGTTCCCAGAGGTAAAAAATGGCAGAGCCAACCTTGAAATCTTTGTCTGACTCCACAGTCCGCTCACTGTCTGAACCATTATTGTTATATCTCTGTACAAGAAGTAATTTTCCATGCAGTGGAGAAGAATATACGTTGAAGAATTTTTCTAACACTAAGGACATTTTTTATTAATTCAATAATTATTAATACAGATACTATCACATGAAGGCTATGTGTTTCATACTGAAGAGATACAGTCGTAACTACAGCAATAGCTAGTGATCACTGAGAACTTACTATGGGCCAAAAATTTTAATTTATTATTTCATTTAAATCTTACAACAATACTATGTGGCAGTTACTATAATTTTCCAAATTATTTTATTAAAAAAATTAAAGATTAGATAGTTTGGACCACTTGCTCTATGGCAATGAACAGGTAAGTTGTAAAATTTAGGCTCTGGGATACCAGAACCCAAGCTCTTAAATTTTAAATAAACAAAAATCAGGAAGTGACATTACAGACACATGGAACATCAGGAAGGTGGAACTACATAAAACTGAGTGGACATTTGGGGAATAACTAATGTAGGAATTGAAGCCATAGTCTGATTTACAGAGGATTGTAGGCTTTTAAAAGAAAGCAAATGGAACTATCAAAGGGTTTGTGCACAGTAGATAGACATGATAAGGTCTGTTTTACTTTCTTATGCTACTGACTTATAAAGAATATAGCTTATGTTGTGAGTTCTCTGTTCAACAGTGGTAATAGATTTTTATAACTTGTCACTTCTATAATAGAGATCCACTTGTATCCATCTGTATTCATTAGAACACTTTCAGTTGCTTATAACAACAATCCCCTTAAAGCCAGTTAAAGGAGAAAAATAAGACAGGTAGGTGGGTGAGGCAAGATGTTACCGGGTTGGGCAACGGAATAGCCCATGACTCCCTTCAGACATGGCTGTCTCTAGATTGCTTAAAAGATGTCATAAAAAATACGTTTCTCACTCACTCCATCTCCCATCTCTGCCTTGCTCTACAGGTGATGGCAAAGATGATCCTCAGGCATACCTGATCTTTGGGTTCATGACCAGCTTGAGACACCTTCCCCATTTCTGAGTTCATATGGATACATGAGGAAGGATTCCTCTTGGGTCCTGCACCTCCACTGGCCTGGTTCTCAGTTGAGGGAAATTCTGGTTGGCTAGGAGAGGTGCCTGAGCTTCATGGTCCCACCAGTCTAGGAAGGAATTGTTCCTAAAGGGAAAAGATGAGTTCTAGTCGCTTAAAATTGAAACGGAAAGCTAGGTAGGCAAACACAGCAGATGTCCTTTATAGCAATGCAGATGCCTGTGTGATGTGATGGGAATGGAAAGAAAAACCCCTTCTTCCCATACAGCCTCTCTTGGACAGGAATTCCCTTGTTAGTCACTCCTTTAGGAGAAGGAATAGAGGGCACTTTGTAAAGCAGGAAGGCAGAAGCTTTAAGCCATTATCACCCCCTAATAGTGTATTAGGAAAGAGCTTTTCAGATTGCCCATTTTACCTGCTAGTTTTGCCTGGAGCAGGCTGTAAGTAATACATGTTTCTGAAATAGTGGGTTCAGTTAATACTGTAAAGAAAGAAACAAGGTAAATGGACCCTTCAGGAGATTAATACAGCACTGTGGATGCAACAGCAGATGGCGGTGAATTTGTAAACCTGGACTGCAGTTTGCCTCTAAGTTATTAGGGTGACCTCAGGAGAAAAAAACTGTCCCACACTGGAGGTAACAGTGATGACAGCTGACATTTAGTACCATGTGCCTGCCACTATGCTAAGCACGTTCCCTAAGTTATCTAATCAAATCTGCTTAAGAAAATTTTGAAGCATATAATTTTATTCTCCCCATTTTATGACAGAAGAAATTTAAATAATTTAGTCAAGGTCATATAATAGTGAATTGTGGAGCGGAGATGAGCAGCCAGGACAACTGGACTTCAAAGCCATGTTGATTCTGTCAGGCTACACTGATACAGATGCTAAGGAGGAAATGCACACATTAGGTGAGGATTCACATAGATAGAACCTGGATGTCTTTCCAACTGTGAGGCCCGTGAGTCTTTCAGGATCTTCAAGGATTATCTGTGGGAGGAAATCAGCCATTCCTTGTATGGTATGTGGCTTTTGCAACGCCCCTTCATGGTTTCTCTCCCTGTTATTGGTGTTTATGTGTGCTGGCAACTTCCCTATAAGAATATATCTTGAGCATGAAAAGATGATGTGGCTAACAGAAAAACAGGATAGAGGAAAATCACCAAACACTTGCTACCAATGCCAAATGAGGATTGGAGCCTAATCTACTGACTATTACTGGGACATTCCTAGTGTTGAAGGTGCTTCAAGCCATGCCCTGCATAAGTACCATGACAGACCAGTCACTGTGTCTGCAGGTGGAATTATAGCCCTAACCCCTGGGAGCCTGCCTACACACCACTGTGGAAGCTCCATTGACCTCACACCCTGTACTTTACCCTACCCACATCACTAGTCACAGGGTTAGAAATTTCTGCTAAAAAAATTCTATTCTAGATTTAGGTGTATTGACCTTGGCAATCTAGCTAGAAACTCATACATTTGCATCATCTTGCAATCCTACACCTTGTATTTTGCATGTTAACATTTTATACACTTTCCCAAGGTCTAGCTACACCTGCCTGAACTCCCATCTTTCACCTAGATTGGAAATCCTGGACAATTTTCCCAGAAATCAGAAGATGATATTTAGCAGCTGAATGAGTTTGATGTCATAATTAAGCAAAACTCACAACCCACATTCCTGCCAAGCAGGTGCACTGCCTGTGCAAGCATCCATGTGTATATTCATATTGGACCAAAAGTTTGCACAGCATATGCCCCAAGAAATACATATTGAAGACCCAAGGAGTAGCCAATCCCTACCTCACTCTTTAAACAGACACAAAACAATTCTAGAGAGATTCAAATGTTCAAATTTTAAGTTTTGGATGACAGTCCTTTCTGTATCAGAAAACCAAGAAACTAAAAAATTAATGATTGATAAATTTCATATAATAAAGTTCTAAATGAAAAAAATAAAGCAACCAAGAGCAGTAACAAAAGATAATAACTTTTTTTTTTAACTGGCAAAGACATGCACAAGCAATTTACAAGTATATGTATATAAATATAAAGATAATGCTATCAAAAATAATTAAATGAAATATTAATCAGCAATATAAGGGAATAAATGACTCATACATGCAACAGCCATATAAGGGCATTCATTATGCTGAGTGAACGAAGCTGCTTTCTGGCCAGTCACGGTGGCTCACACCTATAATCCCAGCACTTTGGGAGGCTGAGGCAAGTGGATCACCTGAGGTCAGGAGCTTGAGACCAGCCTGGCTAACATGATGAAACCCTGTTTTCACTAAAAATACAAAAATTAGCCGGGCATGGTGGGGCTTGCCTGTAATTCCAGCTACTGGGGAAGCTGAGGCAGGAGAATCGCTTGAACCCAGGAGGCGGAGGTTGCAGTGAGCTGAGATCACACCACTGTGCTCCAGCCTGGGTGACAGCGCAAGACTCTGTCTTCAAAAAAAAAAAAAAAAATGAAAAAACAGTTGATTTCTAAAGGTACCATATGATACCATTATGGAATGTCTTTCAAATGCTGGAACTGGAGAGATGAAGGCTTGGGGGAGGGATGGGGTGGGTGGTGGATGGCACTGTGAATGATGGTATGAGAAAATTGCTTTGTGCTTCTCTGTACCTTGACTGTGGTGACTGTGGTGGTGGTTATACACACAATCGCATTGCAGGGAACGCTGACCTGCCCCTATTACATGTACAATGGAGTGCATGTAAAAACTGGTAAAAACTAAATGGGATCTGTAGTCTAGTTAACAGCATTACAGCAATGTCAGGTTCCTGGTTTTGATATTATATTGTAGTCACATACAATGTCATTTTTGGAGGATGCTGGCTGAAAGGTTTATGGGACTCAATGTGTGCATTTTTCCAATTTCCTGTGAGTTTGTATTCATTTCAAAATAAAAAGTTAATAAAATTAAGACAGAATCCTCAAATCCAACTGAATTAAATAAATACAAATGGAAATTGAGAGTTACCATTTTCTACCTATCACATTGGAAAAACTGAATAACAGTCACTGTTGGAAAATGTTATGGGTTGAATTGAGTCTCCTGTCCCTTCAAGTATCTGTCACTATGACCATATTTGGAAATAGGAACCCTGCAGAGCAAGTTAAGATGAGGTCATTAGAGTGGGCCCTAATACAACTGCATCCTTATAAAAAGAGGTCATTTTGACACAGAAACAGACACATACAGAGGAAAGACAAGTGATGACATGGAGAGGACAGGGCTCTACAAGCCAAGAAATGCCTGAAGCTGTTGAAGTGGGGAGAGAGGCCGGGAGCAGATTCTTCCTCACAGCCTCAGAAGGAACCATCCCTGCTGACACCCTGACTTTGTACTTCCAGATTCTCAAGTTGTAATAAAATAAATTTCAGTTTAACCAACGGTTTATGGTATTTTGTTATGGAAGCCCTAGCAATGAATGCAGGAGTACAGGGAAGGAGGCCCTTTCCTAGAATGCTTGTGAGAGGAAGAAATTGGTGCAACTTCTTTGGAGGGAAATGTGGCAATATTTATTCAAATATAAAGTCACATACAATTGACCCAGTAATTATGCTTCTGAGTAGTCACTCTAGGGATACAGTCATATTTTCCAAAGATTCATTTCCAAGAATGTTCATTGTAGTGCTATTTTTAATAACAAAACCGTAAAACAACCCATGTCCATCTATTGGGGAATAGATAATAAATCATGTGATTCCATGTAGTGTGATACAGATCTACAACACCATGTAGGCACTTCAAAAATTCAAATGCTCTGAAACATTGAAGTTTTAAAATGACTTGCAGCAGACTTATTTGATGCTGAAAGCTGCTCTGTGTTGACATGAGGCTTTGTAAAGTCTTTATTCATCCCAGCCAATGTAAATATTCATTTGTTACATTGCAGAAATAGCAGTAGCAGTTAAATAAGAAGTGTATCCCCGTATCTTTCTAGGAATTTTATCATCATCTTTCTAAAATTTGGAAAATTGTGAATACTGTATTACATCTAACCCCAAGGATTTGGGACAATGGAACAAGAGCTGATATTCACAGTTGTTGAAATGTATGTGATAAAAATACAGTACACAGTGCAGATTAGAAATACCTATCACCGGTTATATTATTAAGTGAACTAATATCCTCAGTGATAATATTAGGTAAAAAAAAAAAGCAAGGGCATAGAATAGTATATGTAAAAAGTTACTTGGGTAAATGATTACAAGCACATAAACAACTAGAAATATATAAAAATCTAATTACGATGTTACACTTTAGTAATTGAGATCAGTTCTGCCCTCATTCTCCACCACAGCTGTCCTAGTTAGCAATGTACTTTAGCAAGGCAGACAGCTTTTTGGGGTCTGGCTTTGGCAGGAAGGCTGTGAGGGGCTGAGAACCTTGCTTCACTCTGCCTTGACTCTGGTTAGGGTAAACTGATTTGTCGGTCTATACCTAATTTCTAAATAAATGTCTCCAAGGTACCAATGCATTGCATTTTGGGGGGATTAATAGAGATTAAATAAGCATCTTTAAAGAAGTTGATAAAGGCATCCTCTCTCCCTCCATCCTTCCCCTTTTTCCTCTGTTCCCTTCCTCCTGTCCCTCTTCCTCTCTCCTTCCTCATCCCTCAACTTCCTCCATCCCCTGTACCTTCCTGTTCTTCCCCCTTTCCTTTTATCCCTTCCTCTCTTTCTTTCCTCTGTCCTTCCTCCATGCCATCTACCCACTCCCTCTCTTCTTTCCTCCCCTTCTTCTGTGCACTCTCCCTCCCTGTCTCCCCCTCCCTCCCTTTCCTGTCTTTTCTTCTCTCCCTCTATCTCTTCCTTCCTCCCTTTCCCTCTTCTCCGTTCCTTCTCCCTCCTTTCTTCCTTTTCCCTCTTTCACTATCCCTGCCTCTGTTCCCCAGTCAACACCTGTGCCCTGAGTGCACCCTTGTGAAACACCTGGCCCTGACCTTCACACCCGGAATTGAGAAGGGAATAAGACAGTCATTGTGGGAAGCATGGCTTACACTTCTTTCTCTACTCCTTCTTCTGGTTCCCTATTTAGTTCTTTTACAAACAGATTCCATAGAGTCAGCTAAAACATCACCTTTATGCTATTATAACTAAAACAAAAATTCTATGTTTCTGTGTTTGTATTATCTGAATGTTGAGATTTTCCTACAGCACCAGGTAAGACTTCTTTAAGAATCAAACTGGCCTGCAAGCTTTCTGATGACCACCGCTAATCAAACAACCAGTTTAACCCGGGGGATCACTAGAGCTCTATGCCTGCAGCTAACTCCCCCATACATGCCAACATTTCCTTCAAATAAATAGACTTTATAAAAATTTCACTTGAGAATCTGCACAACTCCCTGTGCTATAAATCTATGACACCCTGAGCACAGTCCGGGACTTGTTCTTCCCTTTTCCCTCAGCTGTGTCACCAAGGTAGCTTAAGATACTGCTCTGACTCCGGCATCCTGTCAGAAACACCATGGTTCTAAGGCAAAATTATCATGCTCAGTTCTTCTTTTTCTTTGCTCACTAGAATCCTATCATTCCCGGAGTGAAGCAAAGCCCTCAAGACATCTGATCAGCAGTCTGCCAAGCTCTTTCTTTAAATGGCTAAAAGGATCAGGCTCTGAGAGCCTGAAAATCAAAACAGCTTCAGATTTCATATCCGGTGTAAACTAAAAATAAAATCCTAAACTTCCATCACCCCACCAACTAAATGGACCTCTTTTTGGCCAAGGGAACACCAGGAAAACCTAAAAAACTGAATTCTTAGGCATGGAGGGAAGGGAGGCCGGACATGCCTCATTAAACCCCCGCCCTTTTGGAGGTCAAGCACAACTGACCAGTATTAATGTTAAAACAGAGATCATGAGATGGATAAAATAGGCTTTTTGTGGCAATAAGACACCACATTAAAGACAGGACCTAAGGCCATGCTAGGCAAGGGTTAGGTCACACCTGCAGGTCATCAGTTTTGCCATATAGCATCCTTATCTCAAAGCATTCTTTTCTGCTGACTGTCAGAGTTTAGACAGAGCCTTACTCCTTTAACCAATTGCAAATTAAAGAATCTCTAAGTCTACTTATAACCTGTAAGCCTGCTCATCAAGATATCCCACCTTTTCCAGCTGAACCAATATATACCTTCCATGTACTGATTTAGGTCTTTGTGTAACTCCAGCCTCCCTAAAATGTGTAAAACCAAAACGGTGATGTGACCACCTCAGTACCACTTACTCGAGGCTTCTTGGGTTTGTGTTTTTCTTGGGGTCACAGTTACTCATATTGGCTCAGAGTAAGCCTCTAAAACATTTGACAGAGTTCATTTTTTTCTGTTAACACCAGCCTGTCATTATTTCCTTCTTGGTTCCCAGACTCCAGTGATCTCTGGTTCTTGTAAGTACGCTTTTCTGGGCTAGAATCTGGGCTGTGAACCCTGCATAAAAACGTTGCCTTAGCTGTTATGAATGAAAACTCACAAATTAAAATGCCTAATTCTTCTCCCCAGTTACCTCTTCATCTATTTACCTATCCCTTTAAAGCTCCTCAGTATTTAGGTATTAAAGAGAAACCTGGGGAGAAAGCAGACAAGAATGGTAGCTTGAAAGCTTGTGCTATTTGTGAAGTGGGCCAGACACAAAAGGAACTCAGGGTAGATCAGCAACTCTACAAATTAACACCTGTAATCATTCCATCTTATTGTGAATAAAGCTTATTAATTTGAATGTAGGTGAAATATTATTATAAAGATATTGATGACGTTGATAAGATTGAATGTTGATTGACATGAAAAGAGGCATCAGCTTTCTCATACAGAGATTTATGGGGATTTGTCAACTCAAAGAAACCTGTGAAGTCCACTGATCTCAGCCCTTCATTGTGAGGAGAAGAACCAGCTATCCAAAGAAAATGGAGGCTTCAGTAAGGAAGTGTGTTCCAGGCACCACCCTGCCTGTGTTCGTTTGACCAGCTCTTCTGGAGCATGGTAATATAGTTCACTTCTTAATGACAAATTATAAGTTGATACACTGCGACATAATTAATTTTCCAGAGTCTAAAATTTCAAACTTAGAGAACTTCAGAGAAATGCAAGCATTTATTTTGCTGGAACCTCAAGGAGCTTCTGCACAGCCTTCCTGGATGGTTCCCTCAGGCCTAGCAGAATCCTCTTTGCACATCTATAGACTCTCATACATGCCTCTGTTTTGGGACTTAGCCATCACAGTCATGACTGCTGGTTAGACTGCTATTGGTGAGATTGTGCTGTATTGCCAGTATCCAATGCAGTACCTGACTCGTCGTTCAAAAAAAAACATGTGACTGCTGAATAAATGAAGAAACTGCTGCCAGCCAGAGCTGCTGGGTGCCTTCTCAAAACAGGAAGTCTGTTGTGAGGTTGTTGTGAGGGTGCCTGTTTTCTTAATAAGAGTTAGTGCATAGAAAATGTACAGAAATGAGCCCACTTTTAAATCTTGGCATAGTCCCTTGCATCTGTCACCTTGGCAAGTCACGTAACTACTCTGAGCCCCAACATCTTTATTTGTTAAAAATAAAAAAGGTAGTAATGATATTATCGTTGTTAAAAAAATGAAGTTCATGACTGATTGTTGTAAAGATTAATTTTCATGAAGTATGTAAAAATTTCTAACAACTGCCAGGCATATTTTCAGTGCTCAACAAATAAATCTCAGTAGAATCTGAATCTGAATGTTGCCTCCTCTGGATAATTTATTTTTTCCTTATAGGAATGCAACTTTGATTACCTCATGAAACTTAGTAACACAATACTATTTTTTGAGGAAATATGCATTATAAATAACTTAATGGAATGCACTTCTTCTTTAAAGCATATTAGGTGATTCCCCAGCTACACAAAAGGGATACTTCTAAAACCACCTACACCAGGCTGAGATCACACTATATCTTCTTAAAAGGCATGCACAATATAAAAGTATCTCTATTTTGAAGATATAAAATAATACAAAGAAAAGGGAAGTAAGCTTTCTAGGGTCACGTAGCAAACTGGTGACAAAATCAGGAAGATAATTGCATTCTGAATTCATGGACCAATGCTCATCTCTTTTATTTATCTTGGAGGTGAAGTTGGAGTCCAGGTGTGATAAGATGATTGATTCTGTTTTTCTTAACACTGGAAAAGAATGCCAGAGAAATGAGACATACCCGGGTTTGTGTTCTTAATTCATTTACCTTTCCTTGCTTTGTTCCTCTTGAAACAAATTGAATCTGTAATTTTTTAAAGTTGTCATTACAATATGAATGAATTTATTTCTTTACCTCTTCTTCCTCTCTCTTTTGATTGCTTGAAACCACATAAAAACAAGCAAATGTGATGGCGATTAAGTCTTGGCAGAAGATATTTAGTTGATGTATCGATTCCAAGTCGCTATCAGGAAAATAATTAAACTAAGATTTCATTGGTGATTTTCTGGTCTGCTAGGTGTGAAGGACATTTATTTGCATTAGTAGAAAATAAAGTTCTATGCTGTTACATAAGACTGGATATATCTAATTTTTTGAAAAAAGGGATAGGTTTACTTTTCATTTAAAACCATGAGAAAATTGCTACTCAGCAAACAATTTATTTTAAGCCAGTGGGTTTTATAACGTCAAGCAATTGCTTTTGTTCTTTGTCTTCTTTATAAGTTCAGCATTTAAATGTTTTCTCTTCTTTTGTCTTACATTTTCACTGGAGTTCATGTTGTGTTTCTTTTATTATCACAGGAGCTGCAAATATTTATTTTTAATATTCTAATCTCAGAATAAGAATGATATTCAGCACCACAGCAAGCACACTTACTTAGCATAAGAATGCATTCTATTTTAAAAGCAATTGCATAGGCAACAGCAGCACTGGAGCTAGAATAATTTATGTGCGGAAACATGGCTATATGATAAAACACATTGACTGCTGAATTATTGGTATAATCCTGGGATCAGGATGGTGGCTTCTTCGTTTACCTTTCTGTACCTTTGTCTGCCAAGGTCATATTGTAGTCATATCTTGAATCTTTAGCATCCTAATGCATTTGCATTTTACCTATTTTCAGAAAAGAACTGATGTTGTGCTGTAAACATGTTATAATGCTAATGTCAGAGAAAAGACTCTGCTTCTTTTTTTCCTTGGCAAGTTTTTTGTTTGTTTGTTTGTTTCTCAAGTAGGGAAGGGAACAGATAATAGAGATAATAATTTTTTTCTCTTTTTTAATGAAGAACATGATTTATAAAAGGCATTTAGAGTTGCAAATTAGCATCAATGCCTACTATATCATTTTTTTTTGCTTCCTCCCCCTTCCTCCCCTTCCCCACTCACTACCATACAATTTTTAAAAGCTTATTTAAAATAGGATTTGGAAGAAAGAGTAAGGAAATCTAAAATACGAATTAGTTTATTCTCTAAATACAGAGTTAAAAAGTTCAGTGTAACTTCAAACTGAAAAAAATATACATTGCTACTTCCAGAAAATATGATGTTATTTTCTTAAGATTTCTTTTTTACAAATTTCCTATAGTAAATTATTCTTTAAACTTTCTTTTGGGGTATAATATACATAAAATAAATGACCATGTCTGGAGCTTCAGCAGTCACTACACTTTCCATGTCCCCCTCCCCAGCAGTGGTCACCACTCTATAAGCATAGATTAGTTCTACTTATCCCTCACTTTTGGACTGTAGATAGGTTAATCATTTTTGTCCTCTTCTAGCCCCTTTGTGTCTGTGTTCTTGACTGGGGTATCCTTTTGTTCACATTGAGATTATCAATAAACAGCTTATTATCTTGCTCACTTTAAGTCAGTCAAAGTAGAAACTT